>NC_000015.10:37216267-37519298 GCF_000001405.40 Homo sapiens
GTGATAGGAAACTTCTATAGGTAGTTGTTGTGAATTCAGTAATTAATGAGACTGAAACATGAGAATAGCTGATTCAGTTCCTATTACCCTTTTTGGATTCAGGCAGGAAAATGATGTCAAAAACATCTACTTCTGGAGCTCTCAGAAGTAAGCTGGGTATCTTTCAGGTAATGAAGCAAGACACATGGGCTGTTGTTTCCTGGAAGCTGCAACAATCACCGAAGTTTTTAGAAGAGAAGAGCTTATCTACAGTTTTCCCCTTCCTATGGTAATCCATCTTCTCATCAAAAATGATGAAACACAGTCAGCACTAAAAAGATCTAAAATAATTAAAAAAATATTTCTCTTGGCCAGGCGTGGTGGCTCACACCTGCAATCCCAGCACTTTGGGAGGCTGAGGCGGGTGGATCACTTGAGGTCAGGAATTTGAGACTGGCCTGGTTAATGTGGTGAAACCCCGTCTCTACTAAAAATACAAAAAGTAGCTGGGCGTGGTGGCGGGTGCCTGTAATCCCAGCTACTCGGGAGGCTGAAGCAGAAGAATTTCTTGAACCTGGGAGGCAGAGATTGCAGTGAGCCAAGATCGCACCAGCACACTTTAGCCTGGGCAACAGGGTGAGACTCCGTCTTAAAAAAATTTTTTTTTTCTCTGAATTTTCTACTTATGGAAGGAGTAAAGTGAGTAAGTTGGATATACTCTGCCAAAAATGCTGCTTCATTCAGAGATCCGAAAACACACCTGATTCTGGTGATATCTAGAACAATTGCATAGGATCTAAGTTCAAAGAACTTGACCCTAGTTAATTTGTTTTATAATAAATCCAGTTTATTAGAAGGACTTCAAAAAAGATTATTGCTTCTCCTGTTGAATCTAGGATCATGCCAAAGCTTCCCTGACAGACAGTACCTGACTCTTAGAGGCTTAAACTCTAAAAGGTTTACAACACTCCTCACATCATACATAAAATATGACCTGAATGTAAATAAATCTCTTCTATTTTTTTTTTAGACACAGGATCTTTCTCTGTTGCCCAGGCTGCTAGGCTGGAGTGCAGTGGCGCAGTTGTAGCTCACTGCAGCCTCACAGTCCTGGGCTCAAGTGATTCTCCTGTCTCAGCCTCTCGAGTAGTGGGACTACAGGTGCTCGCCACCACACTTGGCCAATAAATCTCTTCTTAAAGTAAGCTTTTGCTTTTTCCTTAATTTTCTGCTTTTTGTCAGCCCTATCCACTGTCTCCTTACCCCATGCTCAATTTGGTATGCCTGTAGAGGAGTGAGCAATATGCAAAAGAGAATTTATAGGAACATGCATGGAAGAAGCAGCTAATACATTAGCTGGAGTAGGTCTTGAAGAGAAATCAACAAACTAGCTCTTCTTAGACAAAGAAAATGAGGCCTACTGAAGGTTCCACATCCCATTGATGATGACATCAGGTGGAAATCCAGGGAGAGGTGTGTCATGGTCACATGAACTGTAGCTGGCACTTTTTTTGGATTGCAACATTTGAGTGTCAACTGAGTGATACAACTTAGCACTTCCAAAATATGACCTAAGACCAAAGGTCATTTCATCTCAGTCCATGTAAATAGAAGTATAGCTTCCAGGAAAAGTGGCCAGACCTCTTCAAAATTATTACATTTTGTTCTGAGTGCGAGATTTTAAGAGAATACTCAGGGGAAAGAGAGGAGGCAATAGAAGTTAAGTCATATGAGAAATAGCCCTGACAACTAGAAATGTTAAACTGGGCTAAAAATGCCTCCTGGAAGAGAAGGAGTGGAACAGGAGGTGAGAAAGTGAAGATGACACCTGTGTGGAATCAGCTTATTCTGCAAGACTAAAAATGTGTATATACTTGAAGGAAGTGGTATTCTACACAGATTAGGAGCGCAGCCTCTAGAATCATACAGAACCAAGTAGTTCTCTGTTCTTGTGGAAGTTTCTTAATGCTGTCTTGATTACTTCATCTCTAAAATGGGTTGATAATACTTAGAATGAATTTAAACGACATGCAGGTAAAGGTTGTATTCCAATGTCTGGTATTTAATAAATGCTAAATTGATAATAACTATTATTATTATTATTATTAACTTTTTGTATTCCTAGGAGAAGAAGGTCTCATTCAGGGTAAGTTTCACATCACTGAAGGAAGTCAAAAGAAAACACAGATAGCCATTACATATGGATGTTGCAGAGAAGAATTCATGCACTGGGTGGACAGCTAGGAAGTCCCCTCAAATCAACCATACAGTAGTATTATGACTTTGACCTTCTAGTCAGTGTTTTTCCTACTTCAGGAGTGCACGGAAGATCAAAAGTATGATCTTAAAGCAATTCTTGAACCAGCAAAGTGTGGATTTAAAAACAGGAACAAAGTCATAACTCCCCTTTATAGCTCCCCTGTGCTGTGTCATTTCAATGCTCACAAAATTCACCCAATAGTTGTTTTCTTCTACGTGTCTTCAGCCTTATCTGCCCAGCAACTCTGCTGTAATTATGATCCATCTACCAGATGTTCGAATCAGCGTTTGGTTCTTCTTCTGACTCCACTTTACCTGCAGAGAAAGAGTGTATGATGAATGTGTTGGCTGGCATAGAGGGAGAAGGGGCATATATGGGAAAGAGAGAGATCTAATAATAGCTAAAAGAGAATAAGTGGAGGTGAGGATAAGCTCTAAAGTTCACTATTTCCAAGATTAGAATAGGAGGCACAGAGCTCTATTTCCTTAGCTCTAAGCTAGCTGTCTGCCTTCTAGATTTTAATATACTAATTTATTTTTTAATCAAATTAAATTTACTTTTTTGTGACATTTAATGGGTGATCAGTACCAAATGGTCATTTGACTGTACAGGTCCCTATCTCTCATTCATATTTTTGTTGAGGTAAAATTTCAGTTTTGAATAATGCAAAGGATTTTCTGGAGGTTTCCTTCATGGTGGTGGGAATAACAAACACAGAACTAGCTTTGCCTTGGCAGGGAGGCAATTCCAGCCTGTTGGGCCCTGGTGATGTAACCTGCTGGAGGAGACTTGTTACAACACCCAGGTTCTCCTGGCCCTCATTGAGAAGCTGCTTGGTGCTGATGATCAATATACATGACGGAGATGAGGCTCAGTGACTGGAAAAAGGGTGATAATGCTCTCATCTTTATTTTGCAAAAGATAAAATGAAAGCCGGAAAATAAGGGATTTGTGATCCCTAAAGGTTAAAGTTGTTTGTTATCCTGGTATCAGACAGATCTTTAAATATTGACTTTCATAGTCAGTGTACCCAGATCCTTGGACTGGAAGCCCTGGCTATGTTCAGAAAGGAAAGGGTAATTTTCTCAGTAGCCTTCCCTGAACTATTTTGAATAATAACAGAACAGGCCCTCCTTTGCCAGGTAGATGACTATTTATCTGGCTTTGTCAACTGATAAATTCAGTGATTTATGGGACTTCAGCTGTCATCTTATCAGAATAACATGTACTTCTTTGGATTATGCAACAATCAGATTCTTTCTAGAAGGAATTTGGAGCAAACCTAATAAAATAACCATGATTTGGGATCAAAAACCTTTTGCGTTTTCCTCCTCTATTTCATCTTTGGGAAAAGAATGACATACGAGCTGTTTGATAGGTGCACAGCAAGATGCTGTGATTGAAGTGATCAACTACATTATATGAACTTGCAATAACACATTATGCAAAATAGAAAAAAATAAAATTCAAACCAAACACATGTGGTCAAAAATTGCATTGCTTGATAAAAACAGACTTTCCCTTTAACTAATGAGTCTAGAGGATGTATTTACAGGGCTATCAAAACAATCGGAAACATCATAAGGCATAACATTTGTTTGCCTTCTCAGGAAAGTAACTGTGCAGGCTTATGGATCATCTAAATTAGACTTCACTATTTTGATGTCCTTGCCATTTGTTCTTTTAAATTTCCAGCTTAGGGGGTATATTCGCCATCAGCGTGCATGTGTAAGTACCATTAAGGCTAATAGGAATTTGGTGCCTGAATCCAAAGAAAAATCTGTCTCTGAGATGGCATTTTGCACGTGTAATGCACAAGAAAAATAACTAAAAAAAATCGATTTCTCTCCATCCAAAGCATATAAAACAATTATATTAATTATAAGTACAAGATAAAACACTTGCTTGTGGAATTTTAAATCAATTTAATACATTTGCAATTTTACGCATTTCTCTTGCTCAAAATTGCCTTTCCCAAATATGTTGTCTCAGGCTTTGAAGAACCTAGTGATGAATGGAAATCAAGAGAAATAGGAATGGTGGGAGTGCATTTCTCAACACAGTCTTCATTTATTTATATTCTGCAACACATGCACCCATGATGTTTCAAACTTATTTCCACCACATTCAAAATAAAACCTGGAACACAAAACAGCTTGCCTATATTTTCTTGTTTAAGACTCTATCTCCTGAGCTTTCCTTTGTATCTCAGTTCCTAACCACATAAGACATTTTCAGGCAAGAGTCGGTATTCAAATGAGATGTTAATTTAAAAAATTGTTACATCCTTCTGTTTATTTTGGTAGAAGGGAAATATTGGTTCTTCGAGTTGCATTAAAACCTAGATAAAAACCAGTTTTTATCTTTATACATCTTTCGGAAAAAAAATTCTACCTCAAGAAATTTCTTTAACAAAGAGAACATTATTTCAGACTCTAACATTTCTGTCTGCCGATTATCATTAGTCATAAGCTAAGCCCTGCACTAAATGTCTAGTGAGCACAGATAATGTTCATTTTGTCTGGAAGACAGGTTGCCGCCTGTCAAGGAGAGACGGAATAAATGACAGGTTTTGACTCTGTGCCTTGCAGGCATATTAGGCTAAGAAATCGCCAACATGATGAAAAATTATTTTGTCAAAAATTTGTAGGTCACCCATCATTGTCTAATGTATTCTGTGATTAATTGCTAGCATAGATCAGCATTATGTCTTTCCAGTGAATCGCTTAATTGTTGCCTGCTTCATGCTCTTAATGTAATGATGAGGCATCTGCTCCTTTCACATGTGCTTTTAAATGCCAGCTTTTGCATCCAGGTTACAGGGTTGGTAATATTCAACTTAAAGAACTAGTTCAAATTAAAACTTCAGGACCGCCATCTCTTTTTGCTTTTTATGGGAGCGTGCGTGGAAGGCTGAGTGTTAGTGTTAATGTATGTAGATTTTATTTCTGATGAGTGATTATTTGACTGCTCATTTTAGGAAGATTTATGGTGTGCTTTCTATCTCCTGACTGCAGTGCTACTCTTATCTTTAATAAAGGAGATGAGGACATTAATCAGCCATTGTCAGGGCTCCTGACTAAGACATTAAATGTACTGTATGAGATAGGTAAACACGCTCCAGATCCTTCTCTACTCCACTAGATCAGGCAAAAAAACACTCATTATATTTATCATAATTTCACATCTGCTGTTTTTGAAGCAATGTACCATGAGGCCATAAACTGTATTACAACTGTGCATAAATTCAACTGATTTGTGGCTGGAGTAACTAATTCCTAAAGTACATTTTAGAAAAACAAGCAGTGAGCCCTGAAATTGCAATTCCATAAAGGCACTAAATTACTGACTGCAGAATCAAAAATTTGCTTGATGTGATTCTGCAGTGACCATTTTATAAAAAGTGACAGTGCGCCTGTGATTGAGTCAATAAAATAAGGACGAGTGAGCTGTACACTCAAACAAGATTAAAGAGAAAGGGAATGACGGAGAACAGACTCGTGGTGTACAAATCGAGAAAAGCATAACGTCTCCCCCAAAATGGCTGACGGAGGCAACTATTAATAGCAACAATATTGATTTGTCAGTAATCTTTTCATTATTTTGGAGGTGAAAGAAAAAAATGTAATCTGTCTCTCTTTTATTCATTTCACAGCATAATAGGGAGCATACTTAATATTTAACTAAATGGATTTAGAAATAATTTTTTTAATTGCGGCAATAGCTATTGACTTAAGCTTGCCATAATATTTTCCAAAATTGTAAAGGATATTTCTCTATGGGTTATTTACTTGTCTTCTTGGCTTTTAAAGGTGTATGTCCAAGTAATCTCTTTGTTAGGGCATCTTGCTGTATTTGGGTAGAAAATGTGTGTGTGTGTGTTTGTGGAGGGGGGAGTGCAGTGTCTATTTCTACATGTGCTTTTGTCCTTGTGTGTATGCCTCACTTAATTTCTTACAAACTTGATCTGCACCTGAACTTGCTATAATGTCTTCTCCAAACGAGAAAGGAGAGCAGAGAGTGATTCGTACAGGACAAGTAAAACCAGAAACACCATTGTTTTTGAAGACAAAACACACTTGACATTTGTGAAGATGAAAGCCCAAGGCAGACCTGACACTTGGAATCCTGAATAGAGAGGTGTGAGCCCACAAATGAAACCTGCTCAGGGTGGCAACCACGTATGTTCTCCTGGAAGTAGGATGTGATTATGTGATTATTTATTAACTGGAAAAAGCAATTTAAGAGAAAAATAAATGGAACTGGGCTTTCATTGCTTGGGTTTCTCAAGATATACATCGCCTTTCACCAATTATTTCATGCACCTCTGCTGTGGTGGTAGAAGTGCCACCGACGTGCTTTTGTTTAGTTTGACTATGATACATATGCATTATTTGTTTAACATTCTGTGTTTGGAGGCTCCTTCTCACTGAATGTTGGCAATTATTCACTACCCAGGGCAAATTGTGGAGGGCATTTACACAGAACATATTTTAGAGTGGTATAATCCTATTTGATTTTGTTTACAGAGGAATGTATTTTGCCATATTTTATCCTTCTCCCTGGCCACTATCCTGGTCAACTTTTATAACTGCAAATCTGGAGCTGGCACACTGAATATTGCTCTATTCTTTACATATAATATCAAGTCAAAAATGGTTGTGTTCATAAGGCATTGCATAGTTTCTATCTAATGGTATCAATCTGTGCATCTCAGAGCGTTTCTTTTCCTGACATTATTACTTTACTGAAATTAAGCTTGAAACAATCTGATGTCAGATACTGTATATCTACTTTTATTGCCAGGCTTTCTGAGCCCACCATATTGCCAGGACTGCATCTCATTTTAGATGGGTTTAACCAGATATATATTCTCAAGTTTATTGAGAGTTGGATAGATTACATTTCCCATACTCAAAGAGCAGGCTGGTCCTTTCAGTGCATTTTATAGAACAAATGTAAATTCCCATGCTGCAGTTGACAAAAATTCATGGTTCTTTTCTTAGTGTCAAAAATAAATCCAGCATAGCATTGGAGATGAGTGAGTGTGGTATAGTGGAGCAGGCTTCAGTTCACCCTTTCTGATTTAGCAGCAGTTTCGATGTACTTGAGAAATCTGTAAAAGTTCAATTATTATGGTCTAGCCAAAGAGATTTGCTCACACAACAGAGCTACTGTACTTGAGAATGAATTGTAAGACTCAATGAAATGCAAAGCACTTTCTGAGCATAGCAAGCTCTTTTACCTTCCATCTCCATTTTCCTCCATCTTTTCCCCATCTACTTATATCCTTACATGAAGCTTATTCTGAAGGCTTTCACTGTAGTTAAATAAAACACAAGCATAAAAAATTGCCAAATCACTCCATTAAAATGCAATAAAAATTAGTCTTTTATTACTTGTAGGAATTTATATATTTAGGAGGTACAGGATATACAAAAAATAGCAATCAAATAAATTTATTAGCAGCTTGGCTTGATCAGTTTGTCAAGATTGCTTACATATGTATGCCTTGGAAAGGCAGAATTATATGAAAAAGGTATTTATAGCTAAAAGTAAACCAAACACACTGAATCATGGAAAAAAATGCTCTCAAATATCATGCACTTCATCAACACAACACAGCTTGTGGTCTGATTTTGCTTGTGGACTGATTTTGCTTAAATGCGAGAGCAGGTTCTTAAAAACACACAGCATCTCCTTCTATATTTATATTCATTGATTTTAATTTTTTTCTTGGTCAAAGCTAGGGGTTTCCTCTTATTATCCCTCAAAAATTAATATTGCTTTTAGAAAAAAGTGAAAAAAATCAGGAGTATTCCGCAAAAAGAATGTAGTCTGACTACTACAAGAATAGTCCAAGTATGTCTGCTCTTAACATTTTTCTTTCATCATGTCATTTTGCTTTACCAAGGTTTGAGAAACGGGTGTTGGTGCATTTTGGAAAAGGAAAGACTTACATAATTGCCAACAAGAAGAATGTGATCAGTCTTTCATAAGGAGGAAGTTCTAGCTCCTTATAGTCACATTTAATCTCTTATTTATCTCCCTGGTGAGCATTGTAAAGAAAATTTTGTGGCATCTCAAATTAAATTCTTCCTCCACGTATCAGTAAAGTGAGGACAGCCCTTTGTTACATGGAGAAGACAAGTCTAGATACATACCTTCCTCAGCCACACACATACCCACCATACATATGAAATACACAGACATGGTACATTATTATTACTTTACAATCAACTAATCTCCAGTATTTATGGTGTGATTATAAAATAAATAAAAAAATGTAAAACAACAGTTATTTCAACTTTGTAAATTTGCATGAGCAGAGCAGCTAAGAACAAATAATCCTGAAAATGTATCACATCTAAGTGACAGTGTTTTATATATTGGCAAATAGTAGTCCAAAGTATAATTACAGAGTCTAAAATATAATTACAGAGCTTCTGAGACATTATGCTTTATGAAAATTGATCATTTAAGAACATAGGTTTGCCCGAATTGAGGACGGTATCTTACATTCTCAAAGAAATTCATGGGATAAATATTTTAATATATATTTTTGGTGTGTACCGGATCTTACATTCTCAAAGAAATTCATGTGATTAATATTTTAATACATATTTTTGGAGGGTACTGTAGCTTACATTCTCAAATAAATTCATATAATAAATATTTTAATAAAGATTTTTGGTGTGTTCATTACATGTCAGGCACAATCTGATGCACTATAAGCTTTTCGGATTCCATCAGTGTTTACGCTATCCAAGGTGAAAATAATGAAAACCCTGGGTAAAATGTTCTGTTATAAATATATACAGAGAGAAACTGTCGTAAGGGTATGATCAATGGAACCCTGAACCTCTACAAGCATTGCAGAAGATATGGAATTTGCATCAATACTTAAATATGCTGTAGCTCTGTCCGTTCGTTTATTCATTTACTCATTTAATAAGTATGTATGAAATGCCTATTATGTGCCCGGCACTGATTTGGTTCTAGGAGTACAGCAATGAATGACCCAGGATAAGTCCATGCCCTCCTACTGCTCACAGGGAAGTTGAATTCCAACGAGGGCAACTAAACTGGACTTGGTTAGTCTGAGAAGGCCACCAGGAGGAAGTGACGTCTGAAGCATCCCACAACGTGAAGGACAAGGAGCAGCCGAGCAGGTGAAAAGTGGGAAGGTTCTGAGAGTGAGGGTTGTCCTTAAAAGAGTATTCTCAAGTGAGGGAATAGGCGATGTGAAGGCCAGGAGGTGAGAGGAAGCAAGGGCTACTCTAAAAACTGGGAGAAGTTCAGTCTCTCTGAAGTGAGGGTGAGATGGAGAGAAGGCCAGGTCATGTAGAACCAAGTTAAAGATCTGAATATATCTTTCATGGCAATCAGAAACTATGACCACGCTTTAGATAAGCAAGGGGTGATCAAATTGTCATTTCATAAAAATTACTTTATTGTAGTCTAGAAGAGTACTCTCCAAACATTTTCATCACACACTCCCATCAGTAAACATTTTTGAACCCATCTCAAATACAAGAATATTTCTTTCTTTACTTATAAACATTATACTGGTTCTGTTGTGCTAATATATTAAGTTTATTTTTAAACAATACACAAAATTAATATGCAAAAGAATGAGCTCTTTGTCAGATGGGTAGATTGCAAAAATTTTCTCCCATTCTATAGGTTGCCTGTTCACTCGGATGACAGTTTCTTTTGCTGTGCAGAAGCTGTTTAGTTTAATTGGATCCCATTTGTCAATTTTGGCTTTTGTTGCCATTGTTTTTGGTGTTTTAGTCATGAAGTCTTTGCCCATGCCTATGTCTTGAATGGTATTGCCTAAGTTTTCTTCTAGGGTTTTTAAGGTTTTAGGTCTTACATTTAAGTCTTTAATGCATCTTGAGTTAATTTTTGTATAAGGTGTAAGGAAGGGATCTAGTTTCAGCTTTCTGCATATGGCTAGCCAGTTTTCCCAACACCATTTATTAAATAGGGAATCATTTCCCCATTGCTAGTTTTTGTCAGGTTTGTCGAAGATCAGATGGTTGTAGATGTGTGGTGTTATTTCCGAGGCCTCTGTTCTGTTCCATTAGTCTATATATCTGTTTTGGTACCAGTACCATGCTGTTTTGGTGCTGGAAACCATCATTCTCAGCAAACTAACATAGGAACAGACAAACAAACCCCATATGTTCTCACTCATAAATGGGAGTTGAACAATGAGAACACATGGACACAGGGAGGGGAACATCACACACCGGGGCCTGTCAGGGGTGGGGGTTTAGGGGAGGGATAGCATTAGTAGAAATACCTAATGTAGATGATAGGTTGATGGGTGCAGCAAACCACCACAGCACGTGTGTAACTATGTAACAAACCTGCACATTCTGCACATGTATCCCAAAACTTAAAGTATAATAAGAAAAAAATAATTTTAAACATTTTAAAAAAAGAATGAGCTAATTTTGAAATGTGTCTTAGAAATTTTAAAACAGAATTTCATTTTTTAAACCCACTGATGCCTTCAATTTCAAATTGTAGATGTTTGTTTTTACATAGAAGATGGTTGGTTTTGGTACGTCCTGCTGCTCATCATTGCATCATTTTTATCACATATCATTTCAGTGAGGCCTTCCCTGACCATCTCATTTAAAATTATAAACCCTTCCCTGTCATTCCCCATCTCTCTTCCCTGCTTTATTTTTCTCCTATTACTTTTGAGTGCCCTATGTGATTTACTTATTTAGCTTATTATGTCTCTTTCCCCTCTTCCCCATGAGACCAGAGACCTGTCATTTTGTCCACTGTCATATGCCCTGGGCCTGGAATACTGCTTGGCCTGTAGTAGGTGCTCAAGAAATATTTGTTGCATGAATAGGGTGAAGGTCGTTATCGCAATTGTGGATATTAACTCATATTTCCAATAATCATATTGATAATTTTGAGCCTTTTTGCCTGAATTTGTATTCAACTTGTGTGAACTATGATGCCTTCAATTAGGAATAAGAGGAATGCTTGCCTGTGCTTGCATTGCTCATGTATCTTCATACCACAGTTTTCCTTTTAAAACCAGAGGGTCAGGTTGTGAGGGTTAGCTTAGCTAGAACTAGATAGTGTTATCTGGAAGCCTAACTGGGTAAGTGCAAACCATTATATGCTGGGAGAGGCTGAGTGCAAATGTGGGCAGGAGGGCCCCCCTGCCCTGTGGAGGCCACAGTTTGCTCTGTCTCCCTCTTGAGCTGGGATGCACAGCCCAAGAGGGAGGTTGGTCTGAGTGAGGTTGTTAGTGTCAAACCATATATTAAAGTATTAATAAAGATTGATTTCCATTAATTTTTAGATACGAATCAATGTAAGTAGAATTCCTACTGTGTTCTCTCACTTCAGTGGCCCACTGAGTGCTTTCAAGAGAACCAGGAGAGAGATTGCATCGAGGGCCTGGCTGAGGGCAGCAGAAGGGTAAGGACTGATCAGCTTCACCTGAGGAAGTCTGGGTGGGCAGTCTTCCAGGCATTCCAATTTGAAGGGTTCAACCCTTATTGGGAAGTATTTTTCTGCTATGCTTATTGTTTTTAAAAGTTCAAATAGGCCACACCCTTCATCTATTACACCACTACTTTGCCAATGTGTAAAACAAGTCACTGACATGTGACAATGAACATTTTTAGGATTGTCTGTTGTTAACCATCTCTGCTTAGCAGAGAACAAGTAGACTGAAGCTTACAATTATATGTATAGAGATTTGCCCATGGTGAGAATTACTACAATTTAGAATGTGTTTCTAATAGTTCCCATTCCTATACTGTGGTCTATGAGGAATGATATAGGTGGGCTCTTACTTGGCACAACATTTCTTTGGGTTCGTTCACAATCTGAGCTCAGGAGAAACTGATTTTGTCTTAATAAAAATTCTATGGAGACCATGGCCTTGATTCACTTCAACTGCTGGAAGTACAATCGATATTCTGAAATAGGCAGGTAAAGCATTTCCTATTTTAAAATTGCTTGTATTATCTTCCTTTTTATTTTTAAAACACATATTTTTGTTGGGAAGCAGATACTTTGCCACTCATTCCAGGTAAACGGTGAATAGTTGATTGTATCTGCCTAATTCCAGCTGATGAAGACCATGCTCAACAGAAAGAATGGTGCTAGAAATAAGTAGTTTTAAACTTGTGACTTGGCAGCACTATCTACTTCTGAAGGAGGTGGGCCATTTGTAGTTTACCCACCGCATAGATTTTGTACAAAAGCCTGAGTTAACTGGTCCCACATTTATTGAAATGGTCTTCTAACATCTCTTACAGATTGATACCACCTCCACGAACAGCCTTGCTGTTGGTCCTGTAATCCAGCTACACAGGGATAGTTTTAATGAGTTGTTAAAGTCCCTTGTCGCCTTGAGACCCAATTATTCAAACTCAGGGACTGTAATCTAATTGAATCATTTCAATAAGAAATTATGATTTTCATCTAAGTTTTAATGTAATGCACTCCAGTGGATTACACTGAGGTTATTCCAGCATGCTTTCAACTTTTGCAATAAAGACATCTCTATAGTCACAAAGCAGGGCCAAATCCTCATATGTAGCTAAGTTCTTTCAAAGTGGAGGGCACTCTTTTACCTAGTCTCTTTCTGAGTGTGCTTCTATGCCATGTTTGCCCAGTTCATGTACATATGTGCATGAAACAGGACCAGTACACTGAGCTTTTTATGAAGTGGTATGTTGCATACGTGCTGAGTGATCTGGACTGTGCGGAGCTAAAGCATTCATTTGGCCATCTTGGCAATCAATACTGACCACCTCGACTGTATGCTTCAGTCTGGAGTCTGCATTAATTACAAGGGTGACCACAGTGAAGAATCAACTGTATCAGGATTCTATTTATATTTTTCAGATGGGCACAATGTCTTGGTCAACATTTAACATGGACTGTGCTCTGAAAATCTGAGCTATAATATTATAACTCATAAATTCAATGGGCAAGGGAGAGAAACAAATAAAAACTTAAGGGTCCCAATTTCCATAATAAAGTATACATAAGACTATATTTGTGCTATAATTTTGTGATTTCTAACATTTTTCTTATTGTGGTAGAAGGTACTTCTACAACTTGGACCGAAATTTCAAAAAGAGAAAAAACATTAATCATATGCTAATTAGCATGTATCATTAAATGTTATAGAGTGAGACAGGAAGCCTTCCTCCTTATAAATGGCTCATTCCATTTCTTCTACACTGTCAGATATTTGGCCATTTCTCTCTCTGTCTTCTCTCTGATTCCGTTCTTTGCTGTGCAGACTGCAAAATATAATAACTTCTAAGCAGTGTGTAAAACAAAGTGCTCAATTCACTTTATTAAAATATCCAATAATAATTGATTTAAAGGCAATAAAATGTGTTCATTAGAGGGTTTATATTCAAGAAATATTGAAAGTATACCTAAAACTGTCACTTTTATTGTGAATGAACAGGATAATATAATTTGAAAAGAGTGTGATCATACTAAAGATTTGTCCTGCAGCATTATCTGATAGCTCGTAAAGTGCTGAAATTTAATATGATGCTTTCAGTCAGTTTAATTGAAATGTAATTGCCACTTTGGGCAGAAGGTTTAGATCTGATCAATAAAATATTAAAGATTTTGTGCTTTCGCTTGGAACAGCTCCTTTAGTGATGCATCAAGAGGACCCTATATTTTCGGAAATATTTGTTTGTTGTAGTTCACACAGTGCTCAATATCACTTTCTAATCTGAAAGTTTTAATGTGCTGTGCAGACAAATAGTGGAAATAATAAAGCAATAGTTGATCCATTTAATTACAACACGATGAAAGAAATAACGGTCACCTTCAGATTCATGAGAAAGGCATTAATGTAAAAGAGCAATAAATATTTTGAAATGTCAAACCTCAGAAAGACAGAGTCCAACTTGAGCTGGGTTGTAAATCAGACTGAGGGAAAGACCTTGAAAAAAAGATGGTTCTTTGGTGTTTTAGAAATAATTACTAATACAAAAAGGGTAATGATGAAACTATAAATTACATTAAAAAGGGCCATTAGAGGAGGATTAGTTTATAAAGCTGAGAGGTGGTTCTTAAAATTGTCCTTCTGGTTATTTCTACTTTTCATTTTATTCAGGAACCCCCTGCTCAATTATCTGATTATTAATAAATTAATTGATCACTACTTTGCAGTTCAAATGCTAAAGTCAACTTTCTTCTTTTCAGAGATTCCCATGGGATTTCCATATTACTTATATTTTAGGAAGGAAGAAAGTTGAAGATTTCTTAAGATAGGTGAATAGTAAACTGAAGAGTAACTTTAAGCTAAGTTATGTCTTTACTAATATGTCTTAAAATTATGATTTCTTTTAGATCACTATGTTCCAAAGATGACTTTGATATTCCTGTGGCTATAATGCTTTCCAAATGACCTTTGGCATAATTCTTTTTCTAATGATCCCTTATTTCCTGTAGAACTTTTCAATAGCTTCATGTTTGGGAACATATATTTCTTTACTCACCACTCTCCTATGAGATTCTAAGTTCAATAACATGGTATGTTGTTTTATTTGGTTCATTATATCTCTGAAGTATAAATATGTTTTTTGTTTACAACCATATCTAGTTAACTGCATAACAAGACTAGTTATCTGTAATGACCTAATCACTCTTTTCTTCTCTATCCACCTCTGTCCCAGATTTCTCTTAATTGCCTGAAATCACTATAGTTTTTAATCTTACTACCTTATTGCAATAGATCATTTTATTTTGAAGTAGACACATTTTTTTCCTGTGACCAGTCAAAAAAATTGTATTTTTGTGATATTTAGATGCTGGACATGTAAAGGACATTTAGATTATGGACCCTGGGAATACAACAATGTCTAAGAAAAACATTCCTAGCTCCAAGGAACCTAGTTTCTAGTTGCTGAGAGACAATAAACATACATACATAAAGAAGGCAAATTAAATTCATGACAAATACAGCACTATGAAGGAGATAAAATAGTTTAATTGGGAGTGGGTGACTGGTGTGTGTGTGTGTGTGTGTGTGTTTATGTGTGTTTATGTGTGTGTGTGTTTGTATACTAGCAGCTTTGGCTCCTTTTCTGAGGAGGTAGCATTTAATGACAACAGGAGGCAGCCTTGTAAGGATTTTGGAGAAGGCATTCCAGGCAGATGAAATAACAAATGTAAGAATACTAAGACAGGCATGAGCCTGATTTTAGGGTACATGCAGAATATTAGTGAGGCACTTATGCAGTAACCAAGGTGAATACTGGGAAGAAATGACATCAAAAGGGAG
Source organism: Homo sapiens (assembly GCF_000001405.40). Taxonomy (NCBI): domain Eukaryota; kingdom Metazoa; phylum Chordata; class Mammalia; order Primates; family Hominidae; genus Homo; species Homo sapiens. Next base: position 37,231,819 of record NC_000015.10, read on the forward strand.
GCAGGGATGAGATCATGTAGGGTTTTGTAGGCCATAGTGAGAAGTTTTGACTTTATTTAAGTACAATGAGAAGCCATGGGAAGGACTTAAGCAGAGGCAGGCAGGTAGTAATGGAATGTGTATATGTGTGCCTATTGGGAAAACCAATAGGTTTGCTTGGTCCCTGTTAAGTTACAGATGCCAATTGTGATATATCAAGGAGGCATTTGGATATATCAAGTGATATATCAAGGAGGTAGTTGGATCTAGGAGGTTAGAGCTCAAAGAGAGGTCTTAACTTGGAATATAAATTCAGTTTTATTAACATATAGATGATACTGGAAAATAGATGGGATTATTTGAGAGATTATAGGTAGAGAAGAGAGAATCAAGGAGAGGGCCTTGGTGATCACTAGAGATCTAGATTTAGATCTGACAGAACAGGGGAAGCCAAGAAAAAAGATTGAGAAGGTGTGACCAGTGACAGTGAAAGAAAATTAGGAAAGTGTGGTATTATTGAATGTGAGATAAAGAAAATGTGGCATATGTACACCATGTAATACTGCTAAGCCATAAAATGGAACAAAATAATGGCCTTTGCAGTGACATAGATGGAGATAGAGGCCATTATTCTAAGTAAGGTAACTCAGAAATGGAAAACCAATATCATATGTTCTTACTTATAAGTGGGAGATAAGCTATGAGGATAAGAAGATGGTGTTTAAAGTAGGTCACTGTAGATCACTGAAGACCTGATTCCTTCAGTGGAGTGATAGAAAGGATTTGGTGCATTGAGAAGAGATTGGGGAGATAGAAATTGGAGACAGTGAATATAGGTGTGGTGGCTCACACCTTTAATCCCAGCACTTTGGGAGGCTGAGGCGGAGTCAGGAGTTCAAGATCAGACTGGCCAACATGGTGAAACCTCGTCTCCACTAAAAACACAAAAATTAGCCAGGTGTGGTGGCGGCACCTGTAATCCTAGCTACTTGGGAGGCTAAGGCAGGAGAATCGCTTGAACCCATGGGGTGGAGGTTGCAGTGAGCCAAGATCACGCCACTGCACTCCAGCCTAGGTGACACAGTGAAACTCCGTCTCAAAAAAAAAAAAATTTGGTGGAATGGGAGCAGAGAAATGGAGCAGGGGCTAGAGAGATAAATGGGTTCAAGAAAGATATTCCTTTTTTTTCTTCTCTCTCTAGATATTCTTAAACATATATTTTCTCTCTCTATATTTTCTACATATAAGAAATACATTTCTCTCTATATTTTCTCTATATTTCTCTCTAGATTTTCTCTATATAGGAAATATGTAAAGAATTGGCTCACATGGTTATGGAGTCTGAAGGTTTCAGAACCATTTGGCAAGCTGGAGACACAGGAGAATGGATAGGGTAAGCACCATTCAGAGTCTGAAGGCAGGAGAAGACCAACATCCCAGGTCAAAGACAGTGAGGCAGGGAGAGCAAATTCTCCCTTACTGAATCTTTTGTTCTATTTAGGCCTTCAATAGATTGGCTGTGGCTCACTTACACTGCAGAGGGCAATCTGCTTTACTCACTCTACCAATTCAAATGTTAATCTCTTCCAGAAACATCCTCATGGACATAGCCAGAATAGTGTTTAACCAAATATCTGGGCATCCAGTGGCCCAGTCAAGTTGACACAAAAAGCCATCACAGAAGGCATTAAACAGACAGCTTTGAGGAGAGAAAAATTTAATTTAATAGGCACACAAATTATCATCATCATGTATTAACTTTGTAATCATTTATTAAGATTTGTAATCATAAATAAAGGGAGTCATTAAGTGTGGATACGTGATTTTCTCCAGCAATGCTCAATGATTTGTTTGCAGACATTGATTAAATAAGTTAATCAGTGTTGATGCATTGCCAGCTTAGTACAAGGAGGGCAAATGGGGCAAATGGGGCAAGTTAAGGATGTTCACAAGGGTGTGAGTATAGTGACCGTGCAATCTAGGCTGGATTAGGAGGAAATTGAGAAAGTCAGTGGCAAGCTGGAGAGTGAAATAAGTGGTGGGAACCACTCTCACTAAAGTCATAAAATTATGACAGTATTAGCATAAGTGAACTGAAAGGATATATAATGATAGAAGATGATTTCCAGAATTTTTTTTCTTCTGGAACATAGAAAGGAACTAAAAAGTATTAGGGCCTTCTGTCCTATGGATATATAATGTGCTTAAACCTATTGATTTTCACAAATAGTGAAATATATGCAGGTAGGATATATCAGGGAGAAGAGGTGTCAATATAAGCAGCTTATCTGAAGCATGTCCCTTGAGATAGTGTGGAGGTCCCTTCCAAATCTCACGAGATATAATCCCCAGTGTTGGAGGTGGGGCCTGGTGAGAGGCGTTTGGATCACGGAGGCAGATCCCTCATGAATGACTTGGGCCATCTCCTTGGTGCTAAGTGAGTTCTTGGTCTTAGTCCACATGAGATCTGGTTGTTTTTAAGTGTGTGGCAGCTCCCCACCTCCTCTCTCTTGTTCCTGCTTTCCCCATATGATGTGCCTGCTCTCACTTTGCCTTCCGTCATGCTTGTAAGCTTCCTGAGGCCTCCCCAGAAGCTGATGCCAGAGCTATGCTTCCTGTACAGCCTGCAGAACCATGAGCCAATTAAACATATTTTCTTTATAAATTACCCAGTCTCCAGTATTTCTTTATAGCAATGCAAGAACGGCTTAATACATCCCTCAACTCATAGGCCCCTGTAGACCTCAGTTTTATACCTGGAGGACCCTTTTGCTAACAGATGACTGTTGAGGTTGCTAGGAAGGCTCTGTTTATTCATTTCCTCCATTCCTACATGGTTGTTGACTGTAAATACCCTGGGGACTTTCACACAGAGTTTTGGAGTAGGTCATGCTGAAGATCTCTGAAACTTCAGTTTCAGCTGTTAACAGTACGATCTCAGCTGGCAGCACAGAAAGTCTCTTGGATCCAAGGGATTCCAGACAAAAGCAAAGGTAAAATTAGAAAGTGAACCCTAAATATGCAGATGGAAAAGGCACATGTTTAAAATTATTGACCAGAGGTATATAATAGAGTGTTTCTTCCCTGAGACCCTATTTTTTGAGCTCACTAGGTTATTTCTTTTTTCTCACTTACTTCTTAAGTTCAGCCACCCTGGAAAAATAAATGATAAACCACAAATCAATTCAGTTTTAACAACAAAATGACCACCTGGTTCATAGCTTTGTACTAGGCATCAAGATATAGACCAATAAAAGTTGGTAAGAGATATGAGCCCAACTTGAAGAAGTTTACAGTCTAGTGACCTAACAACTGAATAATTTCCACCCCATCACAGTCAATAAATATTGAAAACCCACAGCAACAAATGTGTAAAGGGTACTATTCTTGTTTGCTCCTGGGAGACAACTCATTGTGCAAATTAAGAATCCAGAGAGTCAGGATAAAGAACCAGAAATATTGTTAAACATTCTGGGAGACTGAACTAGAGCTACAAGGAGCTTGCTGAGCACCGAATGGACAGAGTCATATTGCCTGTCATTCCTAACCGTGTGTGTGTGTTTGTGTGTATGAGTGCGTGCGTGTGACTGACTTAAGTTTTGGCTTCATAGAATTAGTCTATTAAACACATTATTATGTTTATGATAAGGATATTGTTCATTATATAACCCAGCACCTTATTTGTGTAAACATTTACAATTTCTAGTTGGTTGCATACAAACTAGTTGGACCTATTCATGAAAATTGGCTCATTCTATCATGTATTCTGAAAATTGTAAGGTGGCTTAACTTTTTTTTCAGTTGGCTGCCAGAAATCTTGGAGCCAAATTTACGGCCCATCTCTAACAAGCATATAGACTCCATAATATGTTATTGCTAGCTTCCTTTTTAAAAAAGCAGAACACGTTAATCAACACATCATTCAATCATTCAATCAATCAATCACCTTCATAAATAGGAGGCTAATGGCTCAAAGTGCTTTGGAATCCCATGGAAGCTGAAACCTGTACACAAGCCTACAAGACCTTTCTAAACCGCCTTAGAGCTCTGCTAGCCTAATTCAGAGCTTCGATACCTCCCCAAACTCCTGTATTCAGATTCTCTCCTGTAATAACTTGAGGATTGTCCAGCTAATGCTGACGTTATTTGTCCTTGCCTTCTCAGAAGCAGGCCTGATTTAGAGTTTGAATTTGTTAGGACTCCACAACTACTTTCTTTTTTTTTTTTTTTTTTTTGAGTATTTTATTTTCTGTTGTATCAATTCAAGATGTACAACATGTTTTGATATAGATATCTATAGTGAAATAATTACTACACGCTAGCCATTTAACTTATCCATCACTGTTTGCAGTTTATTTTTTTCGCCACACTCTACTTTCTAAAGGGCATGCTAAACTTCTGGAATTCGTATTTGAAGCTCCTCATAGGATTTTTTTTTTTTTTTTTTTTTTTTTTTTTTTTTTTTTGGTGAGCAACAAGGCTGTTTATTTCACCTGGGTGTAGGCAGGCTGAGTCCGAAAAGAGAGTCAGCGCAGGGAGATAGGAGTGGGACCGTTTTTTGGGTAGGTAAAGGAAAATTACAGTCAAAGGGGGATTGTTCTCTGGCGGACAGGAATGGGGGTCACAAGGTGCTCAGTAGGGGAGCTTTTGAGCCAGGATGAGCCAGGAGAAGGAATTTCACAAGATAATGTCATCAGTTAAGGCAGAAACAGGCCATTTTCACTTCTTTTGTGGTGGAATGTCATCAGTTAAGGCAGGAACCGGCCATCTGGGCATATACGTGCAGGTCACAGGGGATATGATGGCTTAGCTTGGGCTCAGAGGCATGACATTCCTGTCTTCATATATTAATAAGAAAAATAAAACAAAATAGTGGTAAAGTGTTGGGACAGCAAAAATTTTTGGGGGTGGTATGGAGAGAATGGGCGATGTTTCTCAGGGCTGCTTCGAGCAGGATTAGGGGTGGCATGGGAACCTAGAGTGGGAGAGATTAAGCTGAAGGAAGATTCTGTGGTAAGGGGTGATATTGTGGGGTTGTTAGAAGAAACATTTGTCATGTAGAATTATTGGTGATGGCCTGGATACGGTTTTGTATGAATTGAAAAACTAAACGGAATAAAAGAAGGAGAAAAACAGGTATTAAAGGACTAGGAATTGGGAGGACCTAGGACATCTAATTAGAGAGTGCCTAAGGAGGTTCAGCATAGCCTTGCCAGCAAAGATTATTTATTTACTTTGAGAGTTAAGAGTGGCAGTTTGGGGATAGCACCAGGAGATATCAGCTGTGATGGCTTGGAGAAACAGTGTAAACTGGTAGTGTAAACAAGAGCAGGGCATTTATGAGTAGTTGAGAACGGTGAATAAGAGTATGACTAGACAGAAAATAGTAGGGATGACAAGTTTTTTGGGGCACAGTCTAGGTTGGTCTAGTGTCTGGGACGAGACTGGGGCCTAATAAAAAGGAGCATCTATACAGGAGCTTAAATGGGCTGTACCTTGTAGCATTCCAAGGACAGGCCTGAATTCTGAGAATGGCAAGAGGTAAAAGTATTGTCCAGTCCTTTTTAAGTTGGAGGCTGAACTTGGTGAGGTATGTCTTTAAAAGACCATTAGTCCGTTCTACCTTTCCTGAAGATTGAGGACGGTAAGGGATATGAAGGTTCTACTGAATACTAAGAGCCTGATAAACTGCTTGGGTGATTTGACTAGTAAAGGCTGGTTTGTTATCAGACTGTATAGAGGTGAGAAGGCTAAACCAAGGAATTATGTCTGACAGAAGGGAAGAAATGACCGCGGTGGCCTTCTCAGACCCTGTGGGAAAGGCCTCTACCTATCCAGTGAAAGTGTCTACCCAGACTAAGAGGTATTTTTGTTTTCTGACTCGGGGCATGTAAGTAAAGTCAATTTGCCAGTCCTGGGCAGGGGCAAATCCTTGAGCTTGATGTGTAGGAAAGGTGGAACTGCCATCAATAAACTAAATGTGATCAGGGTGAGGAACAGGGAAGAAGGAAATATGGAGAAATGGGGTGAATGTCAGGTGGATCAGAGAGATGCAGTCATGAGGGTCAGGTGTGGTATCCAGAATAATGTGGGAGGCAGATTAAAGTCCGGGCCAGGAACAATGGTAATTGTGGGAGACTCAACAAAGAGTGAGTACAGCTGAAGGAGCCAGGGAGCAGAGCGTATATGCCTCAGGTGTGAGAAAGAAAATAGATTTTGGAAGTTATGAGAGTTGTAGAGAGTGAGTTGAGTGTGATTTTGAGGGCCTCTAAAACTATTAGGGCGGCGGCAGCCACTGCACGGAGACATGATGGCCAGCCTAAAACAGTAAGGTCAAGTTGTTTGGACAAAAAGCCTACAGGACACGATCCTGGTCCTTACATAAAAATTCTGACTGTACAGCCCTGCACTTCAGCTGTGTGTAATGAAAAGGGTTGGGATGAGTCAGGGAGAGCTAGGCAGTCTTTAAAGCTGTCTTCAAGGAACGGAAAGAGAATTGGGGAAAGGATTTAGGATCTATGGGATCAGCTAGGTTTCTTTTTGTGAGTTTATATAATGGTTTTGTTAGGATGGCAAAACCAAGTATCTAAAGTCGAAAGTATCTAACCATGCCTAGGAAGGAAAGGAGTTGTTGTTTTGTAGAAGGTGCTGGGGTTTGAGAGATCAGTCGGACATGATCAGCAGGGAGAGCACGTGTGTTTTTATGAGAATTACGCTGAGATAGGTAACAGATGAGGAAGAAATTTGGGCTTGACTGAAGTAATGGGGGCTGTCTGTGAAGCTTTGCGGCAGTACAGCCCAGGTAATTTGCTGAGCCTGATGGGTGTCAGGGTCAGTCCAAGTGAAAGCAAAGAGAGGCTGGGATGAAGGGTGCAAAGGAATAGTAAAGAAAGCATGTTTGAGATCCAGAACAGAATAATGGATTGTGGAGGGAGGTATTGAGGATAGGAGAGTATATGGGTTTGGCACCACGGGGTGGATAGGCAAAACAATTTGATTGATAAGGTGCAGATCCTGAACTAACCTGTAAGCCTTGTATGGTTTTAGGACAGGTGAAATGGGGGAATTGTAAGGGGAGTTTTTAGGCTATAAAAAGCTATGCTATAGCAGGTGAGTGATAACAGGTTTTAATCCTTTTAAAGCATGCTGTGGGATGGGATATTGGCATTGAGCGGGGTAAGGGTGATTAGGTTTTAATGAGATGGTAAGGGGTGCATGATCGGTTGCCAAGGAAGGAGTAGAGGTATCTTATACCTGTGGGCTAAAGTGGGGAGATACAAGGGGAGGATGTGAAGGAGGCTTTGAACTGGGGGAAAAGGAGGCATGTAGCCCAGGAATAGTCAGGGAAGCAGATAATTTAAAGTGTCTCAGCCTAATAAGGGAACTGGGCAGGTGGGGATAACTAAAAAGGAGTGCTTAAAAGAGTATTGTCTAAGTTGGCACCAGAGTTGGGGAGTTTTAAGAGGTTTAGAAGCCTGGCCGTCAATACCCACAACAGTTATGGAGGCAAGGGAAACAGGCCTTTGGAAAGAAGGTAATGTGGAGTGGGTAGCCTCCGTATTGATTAAGAAGGGGATGGACTTACCTTCCACTGTGAGAGTTACCCAGAGTGTCTGTGATGATCCTGTAGGCTTCCGAGGCGATTGGGCACTGTCAGTCTTCAGCTGCTAAGCCGAGAAGATCTGGGAAGGAGTCAGTCAGAGAGCCTTGGGCCAGAGTTCCAGGGGCTCTGGGAGTGGCTGCCAGGTGAGTTGAACAGTCCGATTTTCAGTGGGGTCCCACACAGATGGGACGCGGCTTAGGAGGAATCCTGGGCTGCGGGCATTTCTTGGCCCAGTGGCCAGATTTCCGGCACTTGTAGCAAGCTCCTGGGGGAGGAGGTTCTGGAGGAACCCCTGGCAGCTGCGGTTCAGGTGTTTGGAAGTTCTTGTGTGCTGGAGATGTGGCTGGGGTTTGTCTCACAGTGGAGGCAAGGAATTGCAACTCAGAAATATGTTGCTACTTGGTTGCCTTTACTCTATTATTGTACACCTTGAAGGTGGGGTTAAATAAGTTCCTGTTGTGGGGTTTGAGGGCTGGAACTTAATTTTTGGAGCTTTATTTAATGTCGGGAACAGATTGGGTAATAAAATAAAATGTATATTGAGAATAAGACGGCCTTTTGACCTTTTAGGGTCTAGGGCTGTAAAGCCTCTCAGGGTTGCTGACGAATGAGCCATGAACTGGGCTGGGTTTTTTATATTTGATGAAAAAGAGTCTAAACGCTAACTGATTCGGGAGAGGTGGGATAAAGAAAAAGGAGCATTAACCTTGACTATGCCTTTAGCTCCAGCCACCTTTTTAAGAGTAAATTGCTGGGCAGGTGGGGGAGGGCTAGTCGCGGAACCAAACTGTAAGCCAGTTGGGTGTAGAAGGGGAGGTGATAAAAGGATTATAGGGTGGAGGATCGGAGGCTGAGGAAGAATCGGGACCTAGCTCGGCCTGGTGAGGAGGGGAGAGGTCAGATGGGTCTGTAGAAAAGGAAGATTAGAAAGACTCAGCGACGCTTGGGGTTGGGACTGAGGGGACAGGCGGGAGGGAAAGAAGGAAGATTTGGGACGAGTTGCATTGGGAACAGAGACTAGACCTATGTGTAAAAGAATGCCTGGACGTCAGGCACCTCAGACCATTTGCCCATTTTACGACAAGAATTATCTAGATCTTGTAGGATGGAAAAATCGAAAGTGTCGTTTTCTGGCTATTTAGAGTCATTTTCAAGTTTGTATTGGGGCTAAGCAGTGTTGCAGAAGAAAATAAGATGCTTAGATTTTAGGTCAGGCGAGAGTTGAAGAGGTTTTAAGTTCTTAGGAACACAGGCTAAGGGAGAAGAAGGAGGAATGGAGGGAGGGTGGAATGTTGCCTATAGCGAAGGAGGCAAGTTTAAAGAAAAGGGCAGAGATACGGAGAAGGGGGTGGGGAGCAGCCAAAGCAGGTGTCCCCGCAATTGACTTGCCACTAAGGGAACATGGGTGAATGATCAAGGCAGGCGTCCCGAGGAGATCAGACACCAATGGAACGTGGGTGAACAATCACAGAGGCGTCCCTGCAGTGATTAAACACCAAGGGAAGGCTGACTTCCCGAGTCCGTGACCGGCGCCAGAGTTTTGGGTCCACAGATAAAATGTGTCTCCTTTATCTCTACCAGAAAATGAAAGGAACTGAAATGAAGAGAAGGGAGAGACTGAAGTGTGGCAACAAGATTGAAAGGAGAAAGAGGTTGAGGGATAGTGAGGGAGGCTGGAGAAGAGAGTAAAAAGAGGCCGCTTACTGGATTTAAAATTGGTGAGATATTTCTTGGGCTGGTTGGTCTGAGGACCAGAGGTCGTAGGTGGATCTTTCTCATGGAACAAAGAGCAGGAGAACAGGGGATTGATCTCCCAAGGGAGGTCCCCCGATCCGAATCACGGCACCAAATTTCATGGGCATCTGTGTGGAGACCACCAAACAGGCTTTGTGTGAGCAACAAGGCTGTTTATTTCACCTGGGTGCAGGTGGGCTGACTCCGAAAAGAGAGTCAGCCTCTTCATAGGATTTGTCTGTAACATTTGTATGTTTACTTGGGAATATTCTAGGGCCCTCCTTAGAATTACAGTTTTTGACTGATTCCATTAGCTTTTTTTTGAGAATAAAAAACTACAAGAGATATACTATTATTAAATGAATACTGGAAATACAAAACAAACTAGAAATAAGAGGAAACCTTTCCTGATTCTACCACAGAAAGACAATCGCTGCTAATGTCTGATGACTTTCCTCTTTTGTTTTTCATTCATAGACTTTTCTGGTAACGGTTTTTCAATGTTTCAAGTGTGCTCCAAATACTAATTGCTATGTCACTCTAAAAGTGTCTATTGTGTGATGAAATGGTGCAATGGTTAAGAATGCAATCTCTGGAATGAGACTGCTTTTTAAATGCTGTTTTTTTGACTTACTAAGTGTGTTTCATCTCAGGCAAGTTATTCTAACATTGCATGCCTCAGTTTTCTCATTTGTAAAATGCAAATAATAACATCCACATCTGTCATGGCTCATGCCTATAATCCCAGCACTTTGGGAGGCTTAGGCAGGAGGACTACTTAAGCCCAGTATTTCAAGACCAGCCTGGGCAACATAGTGAGATCTCATTTCTACAAAAAATATAAATAAAATTAGCTAGGCATGGTGGCACGCTTCTGTGGTCCTAGTTACTTGGGAAGTTGAGGTAGGAGGATCACTTGAGCCCAGGAGGTCGAGGTTGCAATGAGCTGTGACTGCATCACTGCACTCCAGCCTGGGCAACAGAGGGAGACTCTGTCTCAAAAAAAAAAAAATACTATCTACCTCAATAAGGTATTGTGATCATTAAATAAGTTATTGCATATGAAACACATAGAACAGTGGCTGGTGCATAGAAAATGCATGATAAGTTTTAGCTGATATTAATTAGCATGGTTTCTATATATTGGAAGGATATTTTTCCTGTAGTTTATATATTCAAAATTTTATTACAAAAGGATCTACAATGAACTCTAACAAATCAACAACAAAAAAAATCCCACCAAAAAGTGGGCTAAGGACATGAATAGACAATTTTCAAAAGAAGATATACGAATGGCCATAAAACATATGAAAACATGTTCAACATCACTAATAATCAGGGAAATGCAAATCAAAACCACAATGAGATACCCCCTTACTCCTGCAACAATGGCCATGATAAAAAATAGTAGATGTTGGTGTGTATGCAGTGAACAGGGAACACTTCTACACTGCTAGTCAGAATGTAAACTAGTACAACTACTGTGGAAAACAGTGTGGAGATTCCTTAAAGAACTAAAAGTAGAACTACCATTTGATCCAGCAATCCCACTACTGAGTGTCTACCCAGAGGAAAAGAAGTCATTATATGAAAAAAGAGACTTGCACACATGTTTATAGCAGCACAATTCACAATTGCAAAAACGTGGAAACAACCCAAATGTCCATCAGTCAAAGAATGTATAAAGAAACTGTGGTATATATCTACAAATATATGTATATATATACAAATATATATGTATATTTCTTTATACACTCTTTGATTGATGGACATTTGATTGATGGACATTTGGGTTGTTTATATATATACAAATATATATGTGTATATATATACATTTGTGTATATATATACACACATATGTATATATTCATATATACATATGTATATATACAAATATGTGTATACACTCATATATACATATGTATATATACAAATATATGTATATACATATATAGTGTTTATATCTAGATATATATCTAGATATGTAATATATTCATATGTATATAGTATATATATCTAGATATATGGTATATATCTATGTATCTATGTAATATATACATATGTGTATATGTGATATATATGTAATACAAACATATGTATATGTGTAAATACATACATATGTATATGTGTAAATACATATGTATATGTGTAAATACATACATATATAGTGTATATATCTATATAGATATATAGATCCATCATATATAGATCTATAGATCTATATATGATGTGCCACCATCTATATATATAGATAGATCTGTAGATCTATATATGATGGATCTATATATCTATATAGAAATATACATATAGATAGATCTCTATCTATATATAGATCTATAGCTATATCTATCTACATATATAGATCTATATATCTATATCTATATATAGATCTATAGCTATATCTATCTATATCTATATAGAGAGCTATATATATGATGGAATACTGCTCAGCCATAAAAAGGAATGAATTAACAGCGTTTGCAGCAACCTGGATGAGATTGGAGACTATTATTCTAAGTGAAGTAACCCAGGAATGGAAAACCAAACATCGCATGTTCTCACTCATAAGTGGGAGCTAAGCTATGAGGATGCAAAGGCATAAGAATGACACAATGGATTTTTGAGACTCAAGAGGAAATGGTGGGAAGGAGGTGAGGGATAAAAGACTACAAATAGGGTGCAGTGTATACTGCTCGGGTGATGGGTGCACCAAAATCTCACAAATCACCACTAAAGAACTTAGGTAACCAAACACCCCCTGTTCCCCAATAACCTATGGAAATAAAAAAAAATTATTACAAAAGGATTGTTAAAATATAGAAATACAAAGGAGGTTAAAAAACAGTCATTATAAGTAGCAATTTGAACACGGAGGTATAGCTACTATTCATATTTTCATATATATCCTTCCAAAAGTATATTTTATACTGTATTTGGATGTTACATAAAACCCTGGGCATGGCTCTGCTAATACAGTAGTCCCCTCTTATCTGCGGTTTCACTTTTTGCAGTTTCAGTTACCCACAGTACAGTATAATAAGTTATTTTGAAAAAAGAAAGAATGCATTCGTATAACTTTTATTACAGTATATTATTATTATTCTATTCTAGTTGTTAATCTCTTATTGGACCTAATTTCTGAATTAAATTTTACCATAGGTATGTATGTATAGGAGAAAACAGAATCTACAAAAATGGTACTATCATGGTTTCAGGCATCCGCTGGGGGGTCTTGGAACATATCCCCAGGGATAGGGAGGGACCACTGCAGATATAATTAACCTGGGTCTACAATTAATGTGATTTATTCTACTGGTGATGGGAAGTGAGTCAGAGAGGCCACCAGTCACTCTGACATGCATCATTTTAGTTACTGATTTTGGCATGTTAGTGAAATTTGGAAATCAACAAGATTTTGATAAATACCAGTAAACAAGTTACTTAAAGAATATAACAATAGACAGTAGACATCCTCATTAAAGCTTTTGTGTATATTCTTTTAAAAATTATATACTCAACATGGTAGTCATTTAAGGCAGATTATGTGCTAAAAATTCCTCTATGAGCTGAGGACATAGTTTACTGATCTCATGGAGGTAATGTAATAATGTATTTTCTAATTCTGGCATTCAGCAAATATCAGCTTTGCTGTATCATGTTGTAGCATAAGTCAGATTTTAGAATTTATTATTATTTTTTTTTGAGAGAGAGTCTTGCTCTGTTGCCTAGGCTGGCGTGTAGTGACATGATCATGGCTGACTGCAGCCTCAACCTCCTGTGTTCAAGTAATCCTCCCACCTCAGCCTCCCAAGTAGCTGGGACTACAGGCGTGTGCTATTATGTTGTGACTGGCTAATTTTTATTTTTAGTTTTTGTAGAGACAAAGTCTTGCCATGTTTTCCAGGGCGACCTTGAACTCCTGGGCTTAAATGATTTGCCTGCCTTAACCTCCCAAAGTGCTGGGATTACAGGTGTGAGCTCCTGCACATGGCCTTGGAAATGTTTTAATGAACATATAATTTGGTTCATTTTGGAGGACTATGGCCTGTGTCTGGGCAACAACAACCCAAGGAATTGCTACTCTATGCTTTCTTACTCTTTTGAGGAGTGTGGTAAAATGGAATTCAAGTTCTGGGACATTGCTTCAACTTTTTACTGGAAAAGTCCACGCAGTTTAGTAAAACACAGATGTGCCATCTATAAAAAGAGATGTACAAAGAGATGTGTTTTGGAATTTTATAGGCCTGGTTTTAAAGCTGGGCTTCATCATTTACTCACTCTGTGAACTTGGGTACATTATGTAGTTCTTTTTGCCTCATGTTTCTCATCTATATGACAGTAATAATACCTGTCTTGTAGGATTTTTCGTGATAATCATATAAGATAATGTCATTATGAAGTTTGCAGGCATCTGTGGGTATTGCTGCTACTGTTTTCAGGAAGCAGGAGGACCTCTGGAAGCCCTAGATAGCATGATAAAGCAGTCCAGGAGCTTTGTTACTGTCTTGGCTCTAATGTCACAGACAACTTCTTCAAAGTTTGGAGTGGAGGCAAGTTGCTTTATGAGGCCATGTGACCTCAATCTGACTAGGGGTCGGGGAGGGATGGGTGGGAATCACTCACCCCTAATGTGAACAACAGCAGAAGGCATGGATAAAGTCTAAAAATGGATTGTTTTTAGTATCAGTGTGATTGCAGCTGGGATATTTACTTTTGATAACTGCCAGCAAAGAATAAATATATTTAAATGCTTTCACCTCCTCCTTGCCTCATGAGGCTTAATAACTTACTGTTTCTTGTTTATCACTTTATTGACTGAATTAATCAATTTTTCCCCCATCTCTACCAATGCTCTATTTACAGTGCTGCGAACTGGCACTATTATGGAGTCCAAAAGGCAGCTCTTCTTTTATACAGATTTGGTAAAACAGAAGGCTACAGCTGAATTCTGAATTTAGAAAAGAAAGAATGTGTACTAGAGAATTAGGATGAGCAATGGAAAATCCTTTTCTCTTCTTATTTTCTTGTGCTGATTTGATTCAAGACTAAGCCTTAGTTTTCCTATCTCTAAGACAAGAATATTTTCCTACCTTGTTATCGCTGAGGAATGTGGAGAATTTGAATGGTGAAAGATTTGATCTTAGCAGCAAGAAAAGAATAAATTGCTCACTTAATAAATTGCCAGGCCACTTGGGTACTATTTAGTAGATTACCTTTTCCAGAGCACTAAATGATAGTAAATGGTAAATGGCAGTAACTGGAAGAGTTAATGCAGCTTTGATCTCTTGAACTGAGTCTCTGTAGTTTCCTTAGAATGAGATGGAATTATTTCTTTCCTTTTATCTGAGGCTCGGTAAACCCTTGAAAAAGGAAGACATTATTACTTTTTTCCATCTTGCATGACCATTAGAATAAAAGGGACTTTATAACCCTACACATACACATATACACACTGAAAGTGGCCATTACAAACTCCTTAAAGAATTCTTTTAAAAGTACCATTTGTCATTCGATTAATTAAAAATGCTTACTGAGTACTGACTACGAGCAAGGGTTTGTGCTGGAGGTGCAAGGGGGCATGTGGAGGAGGAGGCCCTGTCTTTTAGCTACTGGAGAAAATACATTCTCAAGGCTCTTAATCTCATTCTTTCAAAAGGCCTGACAATGTACCAGTTTGCATCCTAATACCTATTGCTGGAAACACAAATGATGAAGCATGTCAGACCCAGGAGAGAATCAGAACCTGGGACAGATAAATCTCAAATTGAGATCCTTCTGACCAGTCAGGAGCTGGTGATGGCTAGAAACAATATAAAGGATATCTGTTTACCTGGTGACAAACTTGTAACAGTGTTCTCTTGTGTGGTGGGCTGTTCCTAAGGCAAAGTTGAGGCCCAGGGCAAACCCCCCGCTGGGCACTACTGCAGAGTGTGCCTTAGGTCTTAGCTCTAACCGCTCTGTTACTAGCACTATGCTGGACGCCTCTGCTGTGGCCAAGTGTCAGATTCAGTCTGGGAGGAAAGGATGCATTTCCTAAAGAAAGCTCATGGGTCTTTCTTAGTGTTTCTAAAAAGAATTTTCCATGGACTCTGTGAGAGATTTCAAGTCAAAGTCATGAACTATCAAGGACTACCAAATATCAGGGCCTGGCAAGGCAGGCAGGTCAAGGGGGAAAGGAACTTCCCAATTTCAATTGGATTCTGGTAGATAATCTAACTGACTTCCAGAAGGTATGGGGCACTCTGACTGGCAAACATTGTCTTCTTAATGAGAAAAGTAATATATGCACCTGGTTCAAGAAATGGAAGCCCCAATATACACACAAATACCCACATGGTTCAAAAATCTAAAACCTGGTTCTATTACTCAGAGATAACTGCTCTTAACATTTGGTATGTTTTTCTATTTTCTAATTTGGAATTATGTTGTATATTTAATTTTGCAGCCTGCTTTTACACACTTAGCAGCATATTGAATACATTTTCCCAAGTATTATTCTTTGAAAATATTATTTTAAATTACTACTCAGTTCCCCTCTTACTGGACATTAAGACTGTTTCCTATTTTTTCTACATCAATATGTCATCAATAATTGTTTTTTATTTGTAAGAACCTTTGCTTATTATTTCATTAGATTCTTAAAAATGGTATTACTTGTTTAAAAAGTATTGGTTTTCAAGGCTTTTGCTATATTTTTCCAAATTGTTATCTGGAAATATTTTAGTATTTTACACCCCACCAACTGCAGGCTTTTAAAAGAACTGTTTGATGACTGACATTGGGCTTAAGTGACCTGGGTCCAGAGAAAAAAATTATACAATTCACTATAACTTTGAGTTTCTTTATTTTTTAGTAGAGACTTTCCCTTTTCAGAATGAGTTGGACTTCACAACTTTGGGTAGAGGACAGCTTAAATATACAGACTATTGTATATTTTGTACTTCTACTGTCAGTTGGTTAAAAAGTGATAGATACATAAAATTTTACATATGCATACATACACACATGCACATCTATAGGCAGAAAAATTTTATATCTAAAGATAAATTTGTTGTGTTTTTATGAATCTAAGAATAAGATAAAAATACATTCCATACACCCATGCTCATTACTCATGTATATAGTTGCTGATATATATGAAAAATCAGTATAAAGTATTGGTGTGATTGTAGATATATCACACCAATATCACACAACAGCATACCTAATATTATATACTAGTATTATCACACCATGTATAACATTTTATACCTGATGTCAACTCAATATGTTGAGAATATTTTTCTAATTTCAATGTTTTCATTTAACTAATTTTTAGTGACTTCATAGTACGCTGCTTGAGAGTATGCCAAAATGTATCCAAATTACCCCCACTGTGAAACATTTAAGCTATTCTCAATTTTAGGCTATTACAAACACCTTTGTATATTATCATTCCACACATCTTTAATTATTTTATTAAGTTCCTAGAAGTGTAATTTCTAGATCATGGAGCATGTATAATTTTAATGTATTTGAAAACTATTTAAAGATAACCAGAAACAACCAAAAAGGTTGTTCCAAAGTATCTTCATAAGCAATAACAGCATTCCATGAGCAATGATAATGTGGGAAATTTGTAATACACAGTTAAACTTTTATTTGTTGTTTCATATTCTTATATCTTATCTCATTAGTTTTCTATTGCTGCTCTAACAAATTTCCACAAACCCAGGGTCTTAAAACAACACACAGTTATTATCTCACAGTTTTGTATGTCAGAAGTCTCATGTGGGTCTCACCGGGCCAAAATCAACATTTTCAGAAATCATTATTCTGCCTACCACATTGTCTTTATTCCTCTCATTGCTCCAATCCCTGTGTCTTTTATTATAAACTTCAATATCTCTTTCCTCATTGCTTCCAATGTGGACCCAAATCTAGACATCTTGCTTCAGACATTAGTATTTAATTCAGGTCTCAGTTCTTAATGTGAGCCTCCCTTGATCATTTACTAAGCAGTATAGTATTTTAAGATGACCGAGATCATTATCTTATTTGTTCCTTAAGTTTTAAGCTTCTTCTCTCCAACGGTACATTTTTCATTTCAAAGCCATAGGAACTAGTGCCACTTTCTCTCTGTACTGATAACACAGGATTAAAATTGTTGAACCAAATGGTCTTCTATTTTTTTCCCTCTCCTCCTAATTTATCACAAGCAGATGTTCTACCAGAAGTTGGGAAAAAAGATTTCTAGCTGATGGGCAGCACCTCTACCTTGTGGAAGATTCATTGCCCTGCACATTTTGAATCTGCTGACAAGAAACTTGCAGCAGAAGTAATCAGAGTCCTCACAAGATTGATTTTTGTTCCCTGCTGGCATATGGCATAGAGGGTGGAAAGGCTCTCATCTCTCAAACTAATCTTAACTATTTAGAAGCCATTATTGCTGGATTACAAATCATCAGAATACCCCCTTTTTTCTAACAACATTATTTATTAGCAAGACCTTCCAATTAGTCTTGTGTCTTGGCTTGACACTCTTCTTAAAATCAACCCTGAAATAAGTTTCGTCTTAAAAGTAATGCAGTTAGCACCATTGCTTTAATTGCACAAGCGTTAAGCCAAATTCCATTTCCAGTTCACATTTAAAAATAATTCAGACCAAAATGCAAATTGAATCTCATCTTCAGTTTGTAAGAAATGCTTAAAGTCAACTTGTCATGAAGAAGAAATTGAATCTATTACCTGTACTCTCCCAGGAAGGAAGATGTGTCGAAAGGAGAATAGTGAGATTTAGCTGATGTTTGGCTGATATATGGGTATATAAAATCTTAAGTAATACTGATAATGTCACACAATATTGTAACATATATTTTCAGTTGAACATTATAAGACAATAAGGCATAAATGGAAATTAAAGGGAAAAACCTGAATGGTTGTCAGGGAACACTTTTTCATTCAGAGAATCATAAACATATGGAATGGTGTGTCAGGCAAAGTTTCTGAAATGAGACTATTGGAGTAATTACAAATTGGATTTATATTTCCAGGACTGAAGGGCACACAATGGGAAAGAAATTTGAGTCAAATGATTTTTAACCACCTCCCCAAAACACCTCAAGAAAATGTATTTCACAAGTATTATCTAAAACTATGAAGCATCAGAAAGACAGAAGCGTTTAATGCTTTTAAAAGGGAGCTATTTCACTGAAAAGAATTAGGTAAGAAAAAAGAAATAAGGAGAAATAATACAAAGACTGGAAGGGGATGATCCAAGCAGGTGTGAGGGAACACTTAATGGAAAACTATTGAAATGAAGTAGATTTATTAATTCAATTTTACAAGTCCTGATTAAAGGTTGAAAACTTGGCCAAAGTCACCTTAAAGGCTTTCTGAGATGTGGTGGATGATATTTTTAGCTAGTTACCCTATTTCCTCCATAAGTCTTATACCAAAGAGTCAGTCTTTACTCTTAAATCCAGTCTACCTTGTAACCCCCCATCTTCTGTCTCCTTACTCAGAACAAATATTGCTATGATCAGACCAAAACACTAGCCATTCATAAACACAGCATATGCTGCTCCCCATGACTGGGATATATTCCCCTTGTCTCCAGGTACTAAATTTCTTCTAATTCCAAATTCACTCCATCTCAAAACCTTTTCAAATCAGTCCTCTTTGCTACTTAATAAAGTTAGCTGCTTGCATCTCTGTGCTTCTTTTCAGAACTTTGTTTTTCCTCCATTAAGCACCTATCTCATATGTCCACGGGCTGCATATTTGTCTATCTGTCTCCCTCACTGATTTAGATCAGGGAGTAAGTCTTATTCACAAGGAACCGTGAGCACCTAGCCTGCTCCCAAATATTTGATAGTTAAATGAATGATTTAATTAATGAATATCTGAACATTTGAGAAAAAAAACCACTCTGGGATACCAGAATGGCCCTAGAATTTATAGATAAGTAGGCATAACTTTTAAATTGTTTACATTATTTTATTGTAGTGAAATTACATTGGACTAAATATTGGTTGGAATAACTTTTTGTTATGAAAACATTTTCATTATTATGACTTTAAAAAATTGTAAAGTGTACTATGTTAATGTAATTTAGTAGAAAAAATTTAGAAACCATTGCTAAATTAATTTGCAAACATCAGAAATATGAAAAACAGTATAGTGTATATAGTTATACCCTTTGTTATCTAAGTCTAATCTCTTACAAAAGAAGATAAGACTGAAAAAAAGGGAAATGTTAGATCTAATCCATATTAAGTAAGGTTTTAAAAAATTTTGTTTGACCTTATATGCTCATTAGTAAGTATGGAAAAATGAGATTTACTAAGCTAGACAGAAGACTGGGGAAGGACTGGCATGAGAGTCTGTAGAGCTGCCTGAATTTACGCTCTCCAACCTCAGGGTGGTACTATCTCAGAAATACTCTCAGAATCCAATATCATCTTCAGTAAATGAAATTGTTACACGTGACAAGCAGAATTAAATTTAATTAGGATAAGAGAAGCTCAGTGCTCTTAGGGTAGACTTTTGAAATTAAAACAAAGAAGAGACGAATATTCTCTTCCCTTGAAAGATGCCTCCCAGAGGTTGCATATATGACTTCTCCTCATATCCCATTGGCTAGAAGCCAGCTTCATTAGATTAAAATTAATCTATTAGATTAAAGCTAATTGTAAGACAAGCTAAAACATTTGCTGTTTGAGTAGTGTGTGCCTAAAAATTAAGTATCTTCCTACTTCACATAGAACTGATAGTTAAAAACAGGTGGCAGCAAATAAGTACGTATAGCCAAAAAATGGAAACAACCCAAGTGAGCATTAATAAATCAATGGGTAAACAAACTGTGGCATATACATACGATGGAATATTACTCAGCTATGAGAAAGAATCAAATACTGGTACATGCTACTATGTGGCTAAAAATTATGATAACTGAAGGAAGCCAAGCACAAAAGGTTACATATTGTATGATTCCATTAATGTGAAATATTCAGAATAGGTAAATCCATAGAGACAGAAAGGAGATTGTTGGTTGCCAGGAATTAGGAGTGGAGGAAATGGCTAGCAACTGCTTTGTGGCCAAGGGGGTTTACTTTTGGGGTGATGAATGTTGTTTTGTAACTACTTAGAAATTTTGTTTGCAAAAACCTGAATGTACTAGATGCCATTGAATTATTCACTTTAAAATGATTTATGTTATGTGAACTTCATCTCAAAAAACAAAAGCAGAACAAAACCAGACAACAGCCTTCAATAATTGGTATTGGTTGATAAGTGTTAAATGCTGCAGGAACGTGAAGGAGAATGAGGAAGACTAAAATATGTTCACAGAGTTTGAGCAGGAAGAAGTCTTATTTTTACTCCTGGGAAAAGAGTGACTCTTTCTCCAGCTTGTGAGTTTTATAAAAAATCTCTTTTCTTTTCCTTTCTTCTTTTTCTTTTTTTTTTTTTTTTTTTTTTTTTTTTTGGAGAGAGAGAGGATCTTGCTTTGTTGCCCAGGCTGTATTTCTGTTTCTTAAAGGGCAGCTAACCCAATTACTTTCATTTTCTCAGTTTTCACCTTGGTAGTTTTGTAATGCCTCAACATGGCGAGGCTGAACTCTTCTCTGTGCATCTTAAGCTCTGGTAGAAGGCCACTAGAGAGCAGCTGGTGGGAGAAAAGCAGCAGCTATTTTGTAATCCTCACACACTTGTGGCTTATCTGTTGGCTCCACCTTCTTGGGATCATCCTTTAGCTTCTCGACTCCTCGGGCAGGTGTGCATGTATTTAACTACTGAGGAAGGGCCCAATTTCTTCAGGAAACCTAGGCCATCAAGGTCAGAGGCCATGAGAAGCGACATGGGTTTCAGTCTGTCCTTATAATAAGGTCCAACTCGTGCTTGTGGCTTCTAGCTTTTTGCTTTCACCACATTAAATCAATTTCCCTTCCCCATGTGCTGCTCTGTGAACTTCAAGCTCCAGTCTCAGACAGGACAACAGCCTTCAGAGACTATTTCGCTAGCTCACATAATTGCATGAAGTCAAATCCCCGTAATAAATCTATCAATCAGTCTATCTATATTCTAGCCATTCTGCTTTTCTGATTGAGCCTTGAGTGATATAGTACCCATTACTCACTTTCTGACATTAAACTTTTACCTCTTCACAAACTGTCTTCTCACTAAATATTTTATTTTCAATTAATTAGAATTGCAACCTGTTCCTTGGCCTTGGCAGAGAAGAGGGTGTTTATTTGAGTTTTCCATGTTCAAAATAAAACCAGATAGAGAACTTACTATAGTTTTTTAATTTAGTTGAAAAAAATGCCATCATTCATGAATGCATGATCCAGCAATTTCACTCCTAGGTATATACCAGACAGAAATTCATATATATATATATATGTATGTGTGTGTGTGTGTGTGTGTGTGTGTACACATACGTATTCATGGATATATATATATATATATTCATGTTAAAAGGAAAACCTTAGATAAATTAAATTTAACTGAGCTTAATTGAGAAAAGATGTATTCACAAATTGGACTGCCCCTGAACCAGAATTGGTTCAGAGAGGCTTTGGCCTGCCTCATGGTTGAAGAAGGTTTATGAACAGATAAAGGAAAGTGACATATAGAAAATGGAAGTGAGGCATGGAAATAGCCGGATGGGTTACAGCTTGGCATTTGCTTTATTTGAACACAGTTTAAATAATTGGCTGCCTTTCATTGGTTGAAACTCAGTGATTGGCTCAAGAGTAGGTTACCATAGAGAATGTGACATGGACGCGGACAGTTTTGGCTGATGTGAAAGTTCACATCTTTGGCTCCTTCCAAAACATCAAGATGGCAAGAACTGCCGTTTGCAACCTAATCTTGGGAAATCCTCCTTCCAAGGTTTATGGCAATATACGAGCTGTGGCTAGCAGATCAGCAGATCGGTTCTGATTTCAAGTCAGAGACTTTTTATCTTGCCTTTGGACTCTGGAGAAAAATACTTTCTTTACGAGTGGTCACAAGAAACCATCTGAAGAATTTCAGTCATTTGAAGCCTCCGTCTCTTTTTCTATTCTCAGCTAGAAGCATAAACAAAAAAGGAAGGTTTAAGAGTATTCACACTCAATAGGTTTTAGGATAATTTAAATATAAAAAATTGATTCTATTATACTTACACATTAGGTATAATTTATGATTTCTTTATTTAAAATCACATGTAGCAGATTGCATCATTTATAATCCTCTCAGAGGGAAACTTCTTGTTTAAACAGCTCTATGTGAATTTATACTTTTATATTTATAAATTTAAAACCATAAAAATTTATAAACGTTTCTTCTTTATAAATTGCAATTTAATAGATTATTTCAGAAAAACCTCTTGGAATGATGACCTTCCTTAATACTGGGTGATATGTGAATATTTTTTTGTAGGGGAATGGGATCTCACCTTGTCACCCAGGCTGGGGTGCAGTGGTGCAAACTCAGCTCACTGTAGCCTCTACCTCCTGGGTTCAAGTGATCCTCCTGCCTCAGCCTCCCTAGTAGCTGGGACTAGAGGTGTGCACCACCTGCCTGGGTAATTTTTTGTATTTTTTGTAGAGATGGGGTTTCACCATGTTTGTCAGGCTGGTCTCGAATTCCTGACCTCAAGGGATCTGCTCGACTTGGCCTCCCAAAGTGCCGAGATTACAGGCATGAGCCACCGCACCCAGCCTTGATGTGTGGAATATTTGAGAGGTCATAAGCAGTGGTTTTGGTGATACTATACTATATGAATCAGTAAGAGCTCATCTTAGAACCTGTTTTGCAGTTTTAAAAATTAAAGACCTACATCATAGGGTTGATGTGAAGAAAGTTTTATTTTTCAAATGAGTATTTAATGAAAGTATACACAACCAGTGTTGGGTATACAGATACTTCTCAACTTACGATGGGTTTATGTCCTGATAAGCCCATTGTGAGTTGAAAATAGCAAAAGTTGAACATCATAGCTTAGCCTACCCTAAAAGTTCTCCGAACACTACGTTAGCCTACAGTTGGGCAAAATTGTCTAATATAAATCCTATTTTATAATAAAGTGTGTTGACTATCTCATATAATTTTTGAAGATGATGCTGAAAGTGAAAAACAGAATGGTGGATGGTTGTGTGAGGACTTGAAGTATGGCTTCTACTGAATGAATAATTCTAAAGTTGAAAAATAATAAGTTAGAATCATCATAAATCTGTTTCCTCTAAGTAGTAAAGATGAAATGATAAAAGAATGTTTTTCCCACCTAAAAAACTATGTTCTATACATGCAGATTAGCTAGTTTCTGCCTGTTGAAATAGTATATGATTATTTTATACATTGTAAAATGGAAGGAACTTACTTTATTAAACGTAACTTTGATACAAAAAAATGTAGAAAACTTCAAATAAACAAACTGATGATGCATCTTAAAGAATAAGAAAGCAAGTGAAAACCAAACCCAAAATTACCAGGAGAAAAGAAATAATATCAGAACAGAAATAAATAAAATTGAAATGAAAAGAAATAATACAAAAGATCAATGAAACTAATGTTAGTTTTTGAAAAAATAAACCAATTGACAAAACTTTAGCCAGACTAACTAAACTAAAAGGGAGAAGGCAAATAAATAAAATCAGAGATGAAATAGGAGACATTACAACTAATAGCATAGAAATTCAAAGGATTATTAGAGGCTACTATGAGCAGTTATATGCCAATAAATTGGAAAACCTAAAAGAAATGGACAAATTCCTAAACACATGTAACCTACCAAGACTGAACCATGAAGAAATCCAAAACCCGGGCAGACCAATACCAAGTAATAAGATCAAAGACATAATAAAAAGTCTGTCAGCAAAGAAAAGCCCAAGACCTGACGGCTTCAATGCTAAATTTTACCAAATACATAGGGAATTCCACTCAAATTATTTCAAAAAGTAGAGGTGGAGGGACTACTAAACTCATTTACCAGGTCAGTATTATCTTGATACCAAAACCAGAAAAATATATCAAAAAAAGAAAAAAAAAAAAAAGAAAACTACAGGCCAATATCCCTGATGAACATTGATGCAAAAATCCTCAACAAAATACCAGAAAATTGAATTTGACAACACATTACAAAGATTATTCATCATGACCAAGTGGGATTTATCCCAAGGATGCAAGAATGGTTCAACATATGCAAATCAATCAATATGATATATCAACAGGATGAAGAAAAAAACCATATGATCATTTCAATTGATGATTAAAAAGCATTTCATAAAGTTCAACATCCCTTCATGATAAAAACCTCGAAAAACTGGGTATAGAAGGAACATACCTCAACATAATAAAAGCTATATAAGACAGACACATACATACTATTACACTGAATGGGGAAAAATGGAAAGCTTTTCCTCTAAGATCTGGAACAAGGCAAGGATGCCCACTTTCACCACTGTTATTTAACATACTGCTGGAAGTCTTAGCTAGGGCAATCAGAAAAGAGAAAAAAATAAAAGCATCCAAATTGGAAAGGAAGAAGTCTAATTTTCCTTGTTTGCAGATGTTAGGATCTTATATTTGAGAAACCTAAAGACTCTACCAAAAAAAAATTGTTCAAAGTGATAAACAAATTCAGTAAAGTTTTAGGATACAAAACCAGCATACAAAAATCTGTACTATTTCTGTATACCAACAGCAAACAATCTGAAAAGGAAAAGAGAAAGTAAGATAAAATACCTAAGAGTAAACTTAACCAAAGAAGTGAAAGATCTCTACAATGAAAACTGTAAAACATTAATGAAAGAAACTGAAGACAACACAAAAGTGGAAATATATTTTATGTTCATGGATTGGAAGAATCAATATTGTTTAAATGTCCATATTGTCCAAAATGATCTACAGTTTCAGTGCAATCCCCATAAAAAAAAACCAATGACATTCTTCGCAGAAGTAGAAAAAACAATCCTGAAATTTATATGGAATCACTAGAGACCCAGAATAATTAAAACTATACTGAACAAAAAGAAAAACAAATTGGAGGAATCATATTATCTAACTTCAAATTATACTACAGAGCTATAGCAACCAAGGCAGTATGGTACTGGCATAAAAACAGATACATAGACCAGTGGAACAAAATAGAGAACCCAGAAATAAATTCACACATCTACAGTGAACTCATTTTTGACAAGGATGCCAAGAACATACATTGGGTGAAAAGTCAGTCTCTTCAATAACCAGTATTGTAGAAACCAGGTATCCATATTCAAAAGAATGAAACTAGACCCCTATCTCTCATTTTATACAAAAATCAAATAAAAATGGATTAAAGACTTAAATCGAAGACCTCAAACTATGAAACTACTACAAGAAAACATTGAGGAAACTCTCCAGGACATTGGCCTGGGCAAAGATTTCTTGAGGAATATCCCAGAAGCACAGGTGACCAAAGCACAAATGGACAAATGAGATCACATCTAGTTAAAAAGCTTCTGAACAGCAAAGAAAACAATCAATGAAGTGAGGCGACAACTCACAAAGTGAGAGAGAATATTTGTAAACTACTCATCTGACACGGGATTAATAACCAGAATGTATAAGGAGCTCAAACCACTCTATAGGTAAAAATCTAATAATCTGATTTAAAATCTGATTTAAAAGACTTGAATAGACATTTCTCAAAAGAAGACATACAAATGGCAAAGAGGAATATGAAAAAGTGCTCAATATCATTGATAATCAGAGAAATGCAAATCAAAACTACAGTGAGATCTAATCTCACCCAGGTTAAAATGGCTTTCATTCCAAAAGTCAAGCAATAACAAATGTTGGCAAGGATGTGAAGAAAGGGGGACTCTTATATACTGTTGGTGCAAATGTAAATTAGTAAACCACTATGGAGAACATTTGAAGGTTCTTCAAAAAACTAAATATATAGTTACCTTACAATCCAGCAATCCTACTCCCAAGTATATACCCAAAGGAAAGGAAATCAGTATACTGAAGAGATATCTGCATTCTTATGTTTATTGCAGCACTGTTCCCAATAGCCAAGATTTGGAAGCAACCTAAGTGTTCATCAGCAGATGAACCGATAAAGAAAATGTGCTACATATACACAATAGAGTACTATCCAGTCATAAAAAGGAATGAGATTCTGTCATTTGCAACAACATGAATGGAAGTAGAGATGATTATGTTAAGTAAAATAAGCCAAGCAGAGAAAGACAAACATTGTATGTTCTCACTTATTTGTGGGATCTAAAAATCAAAACAATTGAACTCATGGAGATAGAGTATAGAAGGATGGTTACTGGAGACTGGGAAGGGTAGTGGGGGTTGGTGGGGAGTGTGGATGGTTAATGGGTAAAACAAAAGAAGTAGAAAAAAATGAGTAAGATCTAGTATCTGATAGCACAACAGGGGACTATACTCAATAATAATTTAATTCTACATTTAAAATAACTAAAACAATATAACTGGATTTTTTGTAACACAATGGATAGATGCTTGAGGAGATGGACACCCAATTTTCCATCATGTTATTATTACATATTGCATGTCTGTACCAAAATATCTCTGTACCTCTTACATGTGTACACCTACTGTGTACCCACAAAATTTTTTTAATTAAAAGGAGATAAATTAAATCCTATTCAGGAGACTTATAGGGTAGGTATGGTTTTATGAACCAGGAGAGCATTTGCTTACCTTTTTAGGGTGAATATTCTAAGAACCCTTACATTTGGGACTATGTTAGTCGTATTTTGCAAGACTGTTTGGGGCCCTGGAGGTAACACAATTATTTCATGTGTGAATTTATCGTGTCTCCCAGCAAGGTTGTAAGCTTTGGCAAAGGAAAAAATGACATATTTTTTTCTTCCCTTATAGTACCTAAAATAGTGGAATAATACAGTAAATACAGTATAACATAGTGTTGACTATGGGGTGTAACACAAATGTAGTAAATGCTCAATACACATTCTACTTGTAGTTTTACTACTGACCACTATGTCTTGTCTTCCCAGATCACTTTATCATGCAGAAGAACTGAATCACTTAAAGTAAGACTAAGAATAAAATGTGCAGTAATAAAGTGTACCCACGAAAAGGAATTATTGCTAGAGATAATAGAGGTCAACAACATAATTATGAATTGTGTTAGTTTTCATTTGGTTCTGTAACCAATTACCACATACTTAGTGGTTTGAAATAACACAAATTATCTTGCTTTCTATAAGTCAGAAGTCTGGAAAATGGGTCTTATAGGGCTAAAACCAGAGTGTCATCAGAACCGAGTTCCTTCTAAAGACTCTGAGAGAATTCCTTCTTTGTCTTTTCCAGCTTTAGAGGCTACCTTCATTTTGTGTCTGGTGGCCACTCCAGCAATGCCACAACTCTTATCTCTGATTCCATCCTCATATCTCCTACTGACTCTGACCCTTCTGCCTCCCTCTTGTAAGGCTTCTTGTGACTATATTAGACTCATCTAGTTCAGAATAATATTCCCATTTCAAGATCCTTAACTTAATCACATATGAGAAGTCCCTGTTGCCACGTAAGGTAACATATTCGTTTGTTTTGAAGATTAGAACATGGACATCTTTGGGGGCCATTATTCTACCTACCACACAAGTCAATATTTGCTTAGAGAGTTTGACATTTTTAATAATAGGAAATGCAAAATGTATGTCTTTTCATTTTGCCACATAAAATCAAAGATATCTGGATTAAGTATGTTTGGAAGATCCCACAATGAAATGTGTTTTGATGTTTCAATAGCAGATGTATCACCCAGGGACACTCTCTTTAGAAAACAGCAGGAGCCTCCTGCCTGCTCTTTCTTCTGGCTTAGAATTCATCTTCTCACCAGCTGCCAGCTTTAAACTACAGTGAGCCTCTCAGTTTACGGTCCTTTCAAGCTAAAATCTGTTACACTAGTAGAGAAATTGCAATACTTATGTAAATCAATAATTGCAACGTATATAACACCATAAATTCATAGCATGCCTAGAGAGTTACTAGCTGCAACATACGTGTTTGGCATGTTTAGCCTGTCAAGCAACCTATACAATGTAACTCATTTGCATACATACCTAGGTATAGCTTCAATTTTGACTCATTTTTAATAAAGATATAACAATTCTGGATTAAAAAAATTTAAAAATTATTAAGAAAACTCTGTTCAAATAATCTAAATTATGTTGTAAATATTTTAGGAAGTTCTTTAGGTCTTCAACATGGTAACATTTCTGAGTAAGACTGCAAGCCTCTTAACAGAGCTTTTGCTCCCCCTCTCTGACTCAGATCTAAATATAAAAGGTGCTACTAGAAACTGGAAGTGGGCTCAGTGGTGATGGTTCTAGGTGACCCTAAGCTCTAGAGTTAGAAATTGTATTTTCTCTGTTAATTTTAGCTCCTGTTTCTGTGTTAGTGTTTAAAGTTAATCATACCTTTGTTTCCTGTCTACATCATCTAGGGCTTGCATGGCAATAGTCATTATTGATTTGTCAAGTAAGTTTTGAGCACCTATCTTGTTGGGTCAGTGTGAAAAACTGAAAATACAATGATGAACAAGCCAGGATATGATGTCTACTTCATTAAAACCTAGTCTACTGGGGCCAGAGGAGGAAGGATGGTCTTGACAATGGTACCAATAACACGTCAATATAAATACAGTTGTGATAAGTGTAGCTGAGAGAAAGTACAGATGAGCATAGATAGCAATAGATTTAATCCAGTTGGAGGATGAGAGAAGATTGCCACAAGAAAGTACTTTTTGGCTGAGGTGGGACAAACAAACTCTATTTGAGGATATTTTTTTCAACTAGTCATTTTCTCTTCTAGTACATCTATATGATGAAACTTGACTTGGATCTTCTGGTTTACTTCTTGCACAATCCTATTTTCTGTGGCTTCTGTGCAACAAAGACATGGTGCCATTCATCATTGTTTCTCCGGGGCCTATACTCATCTTGGCTTTGGAAATGCAGTTAAAGCAGGATCAGATATTTGTATTTTGACAATATACAGGTCTTCTTTATCTATTGAATTCATTCTTCTTGAATGTATTGAGGCTCAATTTAGGAGGTTTGATTTTCAAGTAGGGTTTGTCTGCAGCTCTCTCTCTAGCCAAGTGACAGATTTCATGGCAGTGCTTTCTGATGTGGGGGCTATTTATCTCTTCCATTTGGAAAACCCATTTCCAGCAAGCAAAGAGGAAGACCAAGCCAATCTACTTTTATACTTGAATGTGCCTTTACTCCCTTTGTTGTGATTATCTCACTCAAGTTATGAATTAGAACAACTTAGTAACCCTACTCAGCATGTTTCTCAAGACTTATTTCAAGTAATTATATGCATCTCCTCATAATCTAAATTGGTAAGCATTTCTCTAGAAAGTGCTGTGATATGTTTTACCATTGTATAAAAATTTAAACTGACAGATTGATGATTGAATTTGGTGTTTCATGTAAATCTCCAAAGCTACTTTTTGTTATACTTGGATATATCTATGATGTTATAGAAGAGAAAACTTCATCTTTCATTGTGAGAAGACATTCTACTAACATTGGGAGACTCTGTTATTTCCTTGACACAATCTAGAGCATAATTCAATTCCATGTAGCCATCCTGTGAGGAGGGACTATGCTTACTGATTAAGAGCCTTGGCTGGAAAGTAAGATACTCTGGATCTGAATGTCAGCCCTGCCCATGTCAGCTGTGACCCTGGCAGAATTTTGCAGCCTCTGATGTTCTGTTTCCTCAAAAGAGATAAACAATTGACCTATGGACTTGTTGTGGTGATTAATTAGGTTACGCATTGCACAGTGCCTGGTGCTTCGTAAAACACTCGATGCTATTATTATTAGTACTGAATGTTACACCACATCTTAGGTAGTATTGTAGATGCTGGGTCTCACAATTAGGGAGGTTGTGGTGCTGGAGGAGTGACATATAGTACCAAGCGAATCACAGATCTTGTATGGAGAAGTGGGGAAGAAAAAACTACCTGGGATTAGAAGGTGGGCAGAGAAAAGTGGATTTAGAAATACTTCTCAGGTCAAGTGACCTTTGAAATAATTCTTGAAGAATAAAAAGTATTTTGCCTGTGGAGCAGAGGGAGAAGAGCTTTGGAGGCAGAGGAAACATCAAGAGAACGTGGAAAGTATGTTGGTAAGCAGGAAATGACAAGGAGCACAATGGGACTTTTGCATTCAGGACATGCTGGGGAGGATATGGCCAGGTAAGTTGGGGACAAGTTACACAAACAGTGAAGCCCTTGTTCAGTACTGAAATCCAACCAGATGAAATATTGCTGAGAAGGGATTTCAGCTAGTTCAAGCAGCTCAGTGACAGCATATATCACAACGGATAAGTCTATATATTACCATTTGTCAGAGCTATCAAGCTATCAAAATATTCTCATTCTTAGCTATGGTAGTTTACATACTTTATTCAGTGTACCAAAGTGCAATTTTTACATGCTTTCTGAGGGTCTTAGAACCATGCATTTTCTCCAAAATATACAACCTTCAAACTGAAAGTAATCTCAATATATGCTGCCAAAATCATGTGAAATGAAATCTTATTTTGCCAGCCCTAACAAAATTGTGAAAAAGGTCAGGCTTGTCTTTCATTTTTTCATTCTTTGTCAATTTATCTCAATCTATATACATGCCTGTAAGATATATCCTGAATTTTATCATGTCTCATCACTTCCATAGTTATCACTCTAGTCAAAATCGCCATCATCCCTTATTAGGACTATTGGAACAGCCTCCAAGATGGTCTCTCTGTTTTCACTCTTGTTTCTTTATTCTCTATTCCATAAGCAGACAGAGTGATCCATACAGAACATAAATATAATCATCTTGTTTCTCTGCTCTCCCCCACAGTGGCTTTCCATCCCACTGAAAAGAAAATCCAAAGTGTTTACCCTGGTCCCTTTCTACCTCTCCAATTTCACTCACTGTTCCCTGGCCACACTGGACTCTGCTCTTACTTCAACATGTAAAAAACATTCCTCTACCCCCGCCACCCCAAAACAAGGATCTTGAATTTGTTATTCTATTTGCGTTAGATGCTTTTCCCCCAGATACTGGTAAAGCTTGCTCCCTCACCTCATTGAGCTCTCTCATTGGAGGGACTTTTCCTGATGAACTAAAATAACATTTCCTCCCACCACCAGTTTCACATCCATCGTAACACTTGACCCTTGAAATATTACATAATTTTTTTTTATTTTTTTAGCTTCATTATTCCCTGCCAGAATACATATCCCATGAGAGCATGGACTTTGGCTCACTGCTGTATGCATAAGTGGCTATGTTCTAGAACATAGTAGATGTTCCTTAAATATTGATTGAATAAATCCTGGTGACTTTCACTTGTTTCTTTTATTTCCCTTACATTTATACCTCACTTACCCAACCATCCAACCTTTCACACAGACCCCAGGCATTCTGAGCTGTTTCTTCCTTCTCTTCCCCAAAGTCCCATATCTGTCAGAACTAATTGTGTTTTCTGGCCAGCCCCTCTGTTCCAGAAAATTTTCCCACTCAAGTATCAAAATATAGCCACTCTGAAGTGAGATATTTAAACTTTTCATGTTGGAAGGCACATGAGAAACTCATCCTTTATCATATAATTGCTGGTAAATGAAAATGTGTGTTCTCATTCCAAGGAGTATTTGTATTTTAACAGCAAATATTTCCTTAATAATCAGAATGTCTAATGAAATTGTGTATTATTTAGCCTATGCTATAGACTGAATGCTTATGTTCCCCCAAATTCATACGTTGAAACCTAGTCCCCAGTGTGATGCCAATTGGGAGGTGAGGCCTTGGGGAGGTGCTTAAGTCATGAGAGCTCTGCTCTTATGGACGGATTTAGTGCCCTTATAAATAGGCCCTAGAGAGTGGTCTTGCCCCTTTCACCATGTGAGGATGCAGGGAGCAGGAGCCATCTTTGAACCAGAAAGTGGGCCCTCACCAGATAGCAAATCTGCTTGTGCATTGATCATGAACTTCTTAATCTCCAAAACTGTGAGAATTAAAGTTCCATTGTTCATAAACCACCACCCAGTGTATGATATTCTGTTACAGATGTCCAAATGGACTCAGACAACCAATCAGTAGAAAAAAAAGGCAACTGTCGAGGAACGACTTTCCCAGAATTTTTCAAATCACATCATGCTGGTGCTCATACTGTGTTTTGTCTTAAGTCCAAAAAAACTGCTCTAGGGTGAAATTTATATCTGACACACGTTTGGTTCTACTTAGGAGGCATACAAAGGTATTCCTGAGTTAATCAATTTATGAACATATACCTACCTCCACATTAAGAATCAATAATCTTGATACCAGAAATATAATTTTCTCCAGAACTTTATAGTTATTGAAATTTTCTTTGAATTTTTCTGCTTAAGGGAAATTATAAAATCAAGCAGTTCATAAAAATTCACATTTAGACAAATGAATTGGGAATCTGATTTGCTTACCAAAACTGAAGTAATGTAAAAGAGGGAAACTTTATTGACACAACAAAAACATCCCAGTATTATTCAACATTTAAACTACTATTATCCTCTAAACGAAAATTCCCATTTCTGTTCTTTCTAAAGAAGTACTCTAGAACTAGGGAGAAATAGACAAATCCAAAATTATAGTCAGAGATTTCTTTGACCTCTTTCAATAATTGATAGAAGAAGTTGACGGAAAATTACCAAGGATGTAGAAAACTTGAATAGTGTGAACCAACTTGACCTAGTTGACTTTTATAGAAAACTGACAGCAGCAGAATACACATTATTTTCAAGTGCACGTAAAGCATTTATCAGGATACATCATATTCTGGCCACAAGTTTGGTTAAGTTTAAAAGGATTAAAATCATACAAAGTTTGTCCTCTGACCAAAATGGAATTATATTAAAAATGAGTAACAGAAATATATACAGAAAATCCTCATATCTTTAGATATTACATAACCTACTTCTAAATAACTGAGTCAAAGAAACATTACTAGAGAAATTAGAATATATTTTGAACTTAGTAAAAAATTATAGCATATCAAAATTTGTGGGGTGTAGCTAATTAGGTATTTACAGGAAAATTTAATACATTAAATGCTCACATTGAGAAAGAAGAAAAGCCTCAAATCAATGGCCTAAATGTTCACTTTGAGAAACTAGAAAAAGAGCAGTAAATTAAGTAAGCATAAAGAAAAAGATAAAAAATATAGGACAATAATCAAGGAATTAGAAAACAAGAGCGAATATCAATGAAAACAAAAACTATTTCTTTGAAAAGATCAATAGAATTGATAAACCTCTAGTGGACTTATCAGGAAAACAGAAAATATGCAAATAGTCAATATCAGGAAGGAATAGCATTATGCATTCTTCAGATATAAGTATAATGAGAGTATACTATGAATAAGCTTATGTCAATAAATTTAACAACTTAGGGGAAATGGACCAATTCTTTGCAAGGCAAAAACTACCAAAGCTTGCTCCAGAAGAAATTAACTACCTGAACAGTCCTTTACCTATTAAAGGAAGTGAATTTGTAGTTAAAATCTTCCCACAAAGAAAACCCAAGTGGCCCAAGTGGCTTCACTACAAATTCTACCAAACATTTAAAGAAGAAATTGTGCACAAACTCTTCCAAAAATAGAAAAAAAAAGAAAAGAAACACTTTTCAACTCATTTTTTGAAGCCCGTATTACTCTGAGAGCAAACAAGACAGACACTAAAAAAAAACAAAAACTAGAGATTGGTGTTCTATATGAACATAGATGAAAATAAAGTCTTAACTATTAGCAAATAAAGCCTAGAAATATATAAGAAAGATAATTAATCATGACCAAGTGGAGTTTATCTTAGGAATGTAAAGTTGGTTTAACATTCAAAACTGAATCAATGTAATTAACTATATTAACAGATGAGAAAAGAAACCCGTATGATCAGCCCATTGATGCAGATGAAGCGTTTACCAAAATTCAAAATCCATTTATGGTAAAGACTTTCAAGCCTACTAAGAAGTGGGGAACATAGTCTGGCTAAAGGCAATTATGGAAAAAATCTATAACTACCTTTATACTTAATGGTGAAATACTAAATGCTTCCCCCTAAAATTGAGAACAAAGCAAGGATGACTACTTTCACCACTTTTATTCAATATTTTACTGGAATTCCTCGCCAGCACTTTAATGAAATAAAAAGAAATAAACATCTACAGATTGGAAAGAAAAAAATAAAAGTATTTCTCAATTATCTGTATAGAAATTCTAAAGAATTTATAAAAGAATGGACACACATCTAAATTTAACAATGTGGCATGATATAAGGTTAAAACGTAAAAATCAATTTTATTTATATAGATCAGCAACAATCAACTGAAAATTGAAAATAAAGGAATGATATAATTTAGAATAGCAAACAAAAACATGAAATACCTGAGGATACATTTGACAAAATATTTGCAAGGCATGTACACTGAAAACTACAAAATATTTCTGAGAGAAATTAAAAAAACTCAAACAAATAGAGATACCATGATTGTGGATTAGAAGATGCAATATTATTAAGAGATTAATTATCCCCAATTTGATCAACATATTTGGCTTAATTCTAATCAAGTCTAGCAGACTTTTTCAAAGACAGTACAAGCTGATTCTAAAATTTTCATGTATATGCAGAGGAACTAGAATGGCCAAAACAATTGTGAAAAAGTAAAGTCCAAAACTTATACTACCTAATTTTAAGGCCTAATATTAAGCCTCAGCTTTCCATTCAGGTGGTTTTCCATAAAGGTAGAAATGTAGGTTAGTGGAATAGAAGTTGATTAATTAATTTTTCAAGGTGGGTGCCAAGACAATTCAATGGGGAAATTATCTCATAAACAAATGGTGATTGAACAGTTGGATTCACATGTACCAAAAAAGAGAGAAAAAAGAGAATCTTAATTCTTACCTCAGGCCATATTCACAATTTAACTTCAAGAAGATCATAGACTTAACAAACTATAAAAGTCAAAACTATAAAACGGTAAGTGCAAGAATATGGAAAACCTGGAATTCTCATACATTGTTGGTGTAAATGAAAAATGGTACAGCCACTTTGGAAAATAGTTTTGCAGTTTCTTAAACAAAAGGTATACTCATCATATGACCCAGAAACTCCATTTCCAGGTATTAACCCAAAAGAAATGAAAACTTATATATACATAAATACTTGTACTTGACCATTCATAGCAACTCTTTACAATAGCCTCAAACTGGAAACAACCCAATGTCCATTAATTGGTGCATGCACAAACTATTTTTGGTATATTCATAAAATGGAATGCCATCCACTATAAAAAGGAATGAACTACTGCTACACACAGTAACATGGATGAGTCTCAAAAGCATTATGCTAAATTAAAACAAAAAACCAAAACTATCACCCACAGAAAGCAGATCACTGTTTTCCAGGGGTTAGGGGTAGAGGTTGCAAGAAGAACAGGAATAATGATGGTAATATTCTAGATCAAGATTATGGTAGTGGTCATATGACTATATACATTTGTCAAAACTCATTGAATTAAAATTGATAAGTTAAAATTGGTAATTTTTGTTGCATGTAAATAATACATTTGTAATGCTGACAGAAATAAGAAATAGAAAAAAAGACAAAAAAAGTCAGTACAAGTCAATACATATACAAGAGACTGGTCAGACTATAAATAAATTAAATTAGCTTAGGAAGAGTAGACTGGGAATAAAAGGCAGGATCTCTAGGTTACCAGAAGTATGTTTGAAAGTACCCTTGATTGTTTTCTTTCCTCATTATCTAACTACTTATTAAACTAGCACCTAGGATACCATAGTGCATCAATAACATTTATTCAATGTTAGATGACAGGTAGGAAAGTTAGGAACTACAAACTACAGTGAAACTGTCTTTACTCTTGAATGAAAATTCAAAAAATGGAAGAGAGTTTGTTGACATTTTTATCTATCAACTTTTGGCTGTCATCTTCCTGGTGGTTTGGCTTCTTATGTAAGCAGGTAAACCAATCAAAGTGATTTGTTCCTGCTACCAGTTTAGTTTATATGAACAAACATTTAAATTAGTCGCTGTGGGCCAGCAAGACACAAGAAAATGGTGGGCTTCATCCTGATGCCGTCACAAGTTTTGTTAAATGTCCAATCTTATCAGGCTTTCTCAAAGCCATAAACTTAAGCATAGCTGACTCTATTGCTTTTGACAGCATAAAATACATAAATTGAAAGTTCATGAAGAAATATGAACTCTGAGACCTGTTTTATTATTGGGTATTTTTTATTACTATTAACTTTTTGGTAAATATATCTCTCTTTTTCTTATGTGGTACAAATCAAGAGAAGTATCAAAAATGGTATCTTAAGAGATTTTTAAAATTTCTTCCTTTTCACTTCATAAAATTGCATTCTTTAAATTTTTTTTTCCTGAAAATTTCTTTTCTAAAACCTAAGGCCTGCATTCTTAGAATATCACACTAAAATTTTAGGTTTAAGATTATTGTCATCAATTGAAATGAAAGAATAAGAGAAAGTTTAGGAGTTTACTCATTATTATATGGAAATTTTTTACACAGATGAATATTTATTGTATAAAGTTAGAATAAAATTCATATATTCCACCAGTAGGCATCTGTAGCGGACATCTGTTACTTCTGTCTGCCCAGCAACGATTCCCTCTTCTTCCAGTAATAGCACACAATTTACTTGGTGTAGCTCCTTCTCCCCCATTGTGTGCATTCTTCATATCAGTCAAGGCTGCCTGCCCTTTACCAGCCAAGGGGCACAGGATTCAAACTAGGCAAATCTGGTTCTTTTTTTCGCTGGGAATGTTGAGCTTTAAGTGAAATTTCCCAAGGATAAGCTAAGTCTCCTCTAAAATGGTGTTCTGAAAAGACTCACGGAAGCCATTCTGGTTTCTATTCTTTTAGAAGAAAATATCTTCAGCTTTTCCTTTGGATCTATAAGTTCTTCTACATATCCTTCTATTGAATTCTTCCTTTCTGCCCAAGTTACCAGTATCAGTGTACTTAATTAATTTACCAGACTGTTGCTTTCAACTGAAGAATGCTAAGCTTTAAAATCTCATCATTATCTCAAGTGATTTTTTTTTTTCCAAGTGGAAGGTGCATCTAATCCCCTGGCCTGTCAGACCCAGAGTTCTATGTCTCCAAGGACCTTTGTCTCCACTTCCCGTGAGCAATGTACTCCCACTGGTGCACCCGGATCTCAGCATCACCTGAATCTCCTCTTACTCCAAAATTATTAGTTCAAGTATGTCAC
This sequence comes from Homo sapiens, assembly GCF_000001405.40. NCBI lineage: Eukaryota > Metazoa > Chordata > Mammalia > Primates > Hominidae > Homo > Homo sapiens. The sequence continues at coordinate 37,269,437 of NC_000015.10, forward strand.
TTTCTCTGGTGACAGCTTTTCCTCCTCCCAGTTTACTAGTTTAACTACTTCCATAGTCTCCTCTTTCCAGATGCGGAATTTTCCATAATTCTTTTAAGAATGAGACCCTGCTCAGCTCCATCTCCCCTGATGCTCATACCTACCATCACAAAGTCCACATCAAATCTAGCTCTAGAATATAGATCTCCAGTCTTATGCTGGGATCAGCAGAGGATCAGGGAAGGGAATCCGGGAAACTTGGCTGCTCTGTGTACAATCTTCCACTCAAGTTCTTGTGTTTTCAGCCTTACCATGCACAATCTTCAAAGACATTTGGTGTTTCAAATCCTGCGGCTTTTCCAAGGGTCCAGAGTAGGAATTGGCTTCTTTTTGGTTCATCTCTTCTTTCCAATTCTTTGACCTGGAAATTTAGGTTTCCAGGCCAGCAAGGGCAGTTACTGCTATCTAGTCTACAATGTTTTACCATCTTTATGGTCATAATTTCTCCCTATTTCTTCATTTTTAAATTCACACTTAAAATATTTTAATTACCATTTAAATGAGATTACAGAAGAGAGCAGAGATAAGTAGGTATATAACTTACGATGTTTACCAGGGCAGCAGTTCCTTTATAGACTTTCCAAGCTAGGAAACATCTTAATCCCATGTAGTTAACACCTATATTTCCTTCCTCTTGTACTGTCATCTGTATAATGAATACATTTTCTCTCTTGTTCACCATACAGGGTTATTTGAATATCAAAGAAAGTAAAGTATTTGAAGGATTACACAAATTATAAAGTTTTATGCAAATATGGGCTATTTGTTAGTAATTATCGTTTCATCCTCCAATTTTTATTGAGCATCTAATAATAGTGGCAATGCAACAGTTCATAGCTATTTAGCACCTGCCATCTGCTAGTTATTTTGCTAAAAGCCAGGATTTTGAGGATGAAGAAGAAGAAATGGTCCTTATTCTTAAATATGTCAAATCTAGGAAAAGAAACAAATATATAACAAAGACATGTCCTACATTTACTATATTTATTATAAATATTTTCATAGTTTATTACATATATAACATAATAGTACTATAATATATGTTACCTATATGCCAATAGAGTTTCATAAGCACAGTACCCACAAAAGAAAAAGAAAGTGTCTAGAGTCAGAGAAGGTCTCAGAAAGCTGATAATATATGATCTACATCTTGAAAGATTAGCAGAAGTATTCAAGGGGAGAAGTGAGTAGCTAGGAAAAAGTTTGTGCAAACACTCAGAGGCATAAAAAATTATGCAGTAGCTGGAAGTTTCACACAACTACATTGTAGAGTACGTTTAGGAAAGTGGAAGGACATGAGAATCTAAAAAGTGACTGAGGTGGCCTGTGCTGTGACCTCTATGATGTCTGAGACTAGTGAGAAGCAATCCTGTTTACATTTATAAGAACCTCTAATGAGGAGTTTAGATTCATTTAACATTTAACAACTCTTATAAATTTGCTTCTTACCTGTAGCATGAGACTGTCTAAAGCAGTTTAATTTCAACATTTGTTGTTCTATCTTGAGTGGATAGTTGGCCACTGTCCTCTATTAACCACAGTCAAAGAGCAAAAAGAGAAACCTCTACATCCCATAATAGTGTTTATAAATTATTACATAGCCCCAACGAATCAATCTTCACCTGAGTTTTTCTGCTCAATACTTCCTAAGTCTTCACTAATCTGTTAAGTTCAATGTGAATTATGAGTACTTCTCTCCTCTGAGGCCTCTAAATGCCCCACGTTCCCCTTGGTTGAGAGAATCCAGAACTTGATACAAGCCCAAGGAAGAGTCTGTTCCTCACATACCAGGGACATTGTTAAATGACAAATCTGGAATTAAACAGATATTTCCAACTCATAATCAACATAATATGAAGAGTGCTATGAAATGCATTAGTAGGTCTTTGGGCTGCGGTTTCTTCAAGATGCACTAAATGAATTCTTAGGTGTTTACCAGCTTCTACGTACTGGAATGTAACATGTACATTGCTATTTAAAATCTGCAGGTAACTAACAGGTGAATAATTTCATTTCACTAAAATTTAATTATGATGTCTAGAGACCAGTGTTAGCAATATATTAAAGCATTTGTATTTTTATAAGGAGAGATTTGATCAAAGCATAAAAGACTTCACCAGAGTATCCTGAGAAGACACAAAACATCAAATGTTAATAATGAATGTTGATCTACCATAAGTTTAATGGTTTTCCCTGGAGACCATTTTAATTAGTAGTTCATAGTGTGCAATTTCTTCTAAAATGCATTAGGACTTTGTGATTTTAATGACTCCCATCATATCAGGTCACTTCCTCTGAGGCCTTGTAAAGAGCCAGATGTTCTTTTCACTTGTGCTTTTGCAATTGAATTCTATATGACTATTCTCTTGCGAGTAAATTCTCTGGAATGGATACAGAACCATCAACATAAACTGCCATAACCTAGGTTTTCTCACTGGCCTATGCTAAATAAATATCCTTTGGGAATGCTGCTTATAATGTGACATCTCAGGAGAATATTACTTGACAAATTAAAAGGAAAACCTTTTGTTTCACATAAAGGTAGATCACACACGATTGCACTAGAATTTTATAGCCATTGTTTACATGACAATTTATTTTAAGCTTATTCGTATATATATGAGTTGTATATACATATGAATTATGTATATAAATTACATATATGTGTTTATATACATATATAATTTTATTTCCAAGTGTTTTGCCTGCTGGACAAGATATAGTGATGCTGACAAACACTGTATTTAGTAGTTTCTTTTGTAGTACCAAGGAAAGACACATTTTAGAATGTATTGATGAATTGGTTATAGTTTTGGTAAAACTCTTGTAGCCAAACCTAAATGATCACAGTGTGTCTATATATCCCCATTTTTAAAAAATTGCTATTTATTTGTCAAAAGGCTTTTGAATTTAATAAAGAATGGCAATAACTGGTATATACATTAATTCAAAATACTTTCCCATTATATGTAATTGATATTATACTATTAGTTCATTTTCATTCTGCTATAAAGAACTCCCTGAGACTGGGTAATTTATAAAGGAAAGAGGTTTAATTGACTCACAGTTCAGCATGGCTGGGGAGGCCTCAGGAAACTTACAATCATGGAGGAAGGCAAAGGGGAAGCAAGGTACCTTCTTCACAAAGTGGCAGGAAGGAGAAGAGCAAGCAAGAGCAGGGAAAACCACCTTATAAAATCATCAGATCTCATGAGAATTCACTCACTATCACAAGAACAGCATGGGTGAACTGCCCCCATGATCCAATCACCTCCCACCTGGTTCCTACCTCAACAGGTGGGGATCATGGGGATTAGAATTCGAGTTGAGATTTGGGTGGGGACACACAAAGCCTAACAATATCAACTTGATCATTTCATGTCCAAACTTCATTTCAGTACTATTTTTAAACAACACGCATTTATAGAAATTATTTCTTGCATATCTAAATTCTCATAATATTCTGTTGAATTTCTATCAACAAAAGAATAAGGATGCTGTGGCATAGACGAGTTGCCATCCTTTAGAGTAAATCATGAATTATCTTGTGATATTTTTAATCCAAATATAAACAACTAATTTTTAAAAACTTGGGGTGGTTGAACTAAATAGTAACACAAGTTTGTATTTAAGAAGACTGAGAGAAATGAAAGACATTGGATGACTTAAGAGTCCAGAGTATGGAAGAAATTAAAAAGTTGTTGATAAGTAAGCCTCCTAGCTAATAACCAGAAAGAGCAGTTAGTTGGATTTGACATTAAAGGATTATAAAACTAAGCTTTATAAAAATGCAGTTCTTAGGCATATCTGGCCTAAGAATGGCTTTACAACAAAATCTCACTTACTACATTTATTTCCAGAAATTTTTGAATACAGTAACCAAAAAACCCTACCAAAAACCTCAATGCAGAAGCGCTACCCTCTTGAACCACATACTTCACCAAAAATTTAAAATTTAAATCATAGATCAGAAAGACAACTTATAAATCATCGAGTCCAATCTTCCCTTCCTTTCATTGCACTTCCCCACACATACACCCAAATGTAATTTACACTTCAGTAAACTTAGGTGAGGAATTTACAGTTGAGCCTGCAGAGAAACTAAGTGACTTGCTTAAGGAAGACAGAATAGTTTGTGGTTAAGAATATGGCTGATAAGATTCAAATCTTGGCTCCATCACTTACTAGCTGTGTGACCTTGAGCAATTCACTCAATTATTTTCATGCCTCAGGTGGCTTGTCTGAAAAATGGGAATAATAGTAGCACCTAACTCAGATTGTTTTGAGACGCAGGTGAGCAAGTCTGCATAATGCACTTAGCATAGTGCCTGGGGTATAATATGTGCTCAATAAATATTATTTTAATTCTCTCTCTGCAATAAATTACTTGTGTGCTGTTAGGCAACTTACTTTAAACATTTTGTTACATTTATAATGATTTGTATTACACAATTGTTTATTGTTTATAGTCTGTGTTCCCCACTGGACATAAAATTCCAGGATGGCAGAGACTACATCTATTTTAAACATTAACATATATGGTGGCTGGCACATATTAGGTGCTCAACAATGTTTCTTGTTATAAAAATAATGTTACTGGCCGCGCGGTGGCTCATGTCTGTAATCCCAGCACTTTGGGAGGCTGAGGCAGGCGGATCACAAGGTCAGGAGATCGAGACCATCCTGGCTAACACGGTGAAACCCCGTCTCTACCGAAAATACAAAAAAATTAGCTGGCCGTGGTGGTGGGCACCTGTAGTCCCAGCTACTTGGGAGGCTGAGGCAGGAGAATGGTGTGAACCTGGGAGGCGGAGCTTGCAGTGAGCCAAGATCGGGCCACTGCACTCCAGCCTGGGCAACAGAGCGAGACTCCATCTAAAAAATAATAATAATAATAATGTTATTATGATCACAACCCAGATAGTGTTGTCTAAAGGATTAGATGAGAGAATGCAAGTAAAGCACTTAGTACCATGTTGGGAACTCAAAGAGTAAGTACCTAATAAATGTGTGTGCTTGTTACTGTTGCTATCACCATAAGCCTCAAAATTAGTGACAGAAATGCAACTGAAAGGAAGGTTTTCCAGTTCCCCACTAATAGTTAGCCAGTGATATTAATTAAATATATGTAAGGCAGAAAAACTAATTCTTCATGTTAAAAAGTCTATTTTGCAAGGCTATTCTACAGTTGATAATATTGCCTAGCAACAAAATCTAAGGAAGAGATGTACTTTGCTTGGCTTGGATAGCATTATAACAACATTACTAACAATGACAAGAGCAACAGCAACAGCAACAACAACAGACTAGGTAGCCCAGATTTTAAAGTAGAGAGATATTTCAAAACCACTTGAATTTTGGTTTTTCTTGAAAACATAGAAGTTAGGCACAAAAGGCTAACACCCTCACCTGTCAACAACTCAGTGGGAGCTCTGAGATGGCCCCCCTCTTTCTATGGGGTACTTGCTCTTCAATTCACACGTGACCCCTGGAGGCATTGGTGTTTGGGACCCCTGATTTGAGTCTAGGGCTTTTCAGGATTAATGTGATTTTAAGGAATTCTGGATGTCTTTGTAGTAATCATTTTGATCCACATAAGCAACATCTTTTGTGTGTGTGTGTGTGTGTGTAGCAGAAAAGACTTTTATTTCTGTTGGCTTTTTCATCACTCCTCACCTTGTTCTTGTTTTATACAGCATCTGATAGCAAGTGTCAAGAGAAATTTAAAATTATAGCTCATTTACTCTGGTTAAACATAAGGAAGGAAAAGCAATTACCAGAGTAAAATGATGGAATTAAAGATTCTTCTTGCAACCTAGTTAGGTATTTAGTGTTTGATGAGTGCTGGAAAAGATAAATACATTTTTTTTCAAGGAGGACTGTGTCAATCTGCAATCATGAATAAAAGACTCTGAACATGATTTAGATATCAAACATATGGTTTGCAAACAAAATCAATCTTTCTCTAGGCAGTAAGAGTTAGTTGACAATATACTGTACCTCTTTTTTGTTACTAAATTGGAAAATGTTTTTTTAGTGGTGAATAAATTTCTTGCACCAACAACAGTTTTGTTTTTGGTTTTTTAATATATATATATATATTTTTTTTGCAGAGGAAACATGCTACAAGATAGATGGCGCTTTAGAAGAGACCACACAGATGGTCTATAGAAAATCTTACAAATATAATCCCATATAAACAGCGTAAATGCATTCTTCATATGAGGATAAAATGTTAATTAGTTTGGTTTAATTACAGATTTGTTACATGCTAAAGTATAAATTTAATGGATTGGTGATTCAATTTGATAGATCATAAAAAATAACTGTGAGCATGTTACTGATTGTTTTGCTGACTAACCTAACATGGATGCCCTATGCATCTTTAATTCACCTCTGGTTCAAAATGTGCCTCATTCATAAAGAGCCCATCTAATGATCAAACATACTTAATTCATGCTAACATGAGAGATGTGGATCAGTCTTTCTTTAAAACAATCATGTAGTCATTGTATTATCTTTCACAATACTTCATAAGAAAGAGTCACAAATTAGTACTGGTGTCTCTAGCAATATAACATTCAGTAATGTTGCTATAATTTTGTCCTCAAAAATTTTAAGAAATATGATTTTAGGAGTGAGTTGTAGTTATTTTGCATTTCTGATGAAGGCAGGAAAACAGGGAAGAGATACTAGTCACATCAGCAAAAGACTGAAGAGGAAAACTTTTGAATCAAGAGCATCTTAAGATATTGGAATGAGTTATTTAAGGAAGCTGTGGGATCTCTTGCTAAGATTCTGAAAGATATTATTGGTGTGGGATGATGAAGTGTCATTTTGTTGCAAGGCTGTAGATTAGACCAGACCAGCTTTAGGAATACATTTCATAAATGATTATGCTCCCAAACTTCTTTCTATTTTAATGAGTTTTCATCATTGGCATTCACACTTATCAATGCTATCAATTCCTCCTAGCCTGCTCACCTATTGCCAGTTCTAACAAGCGTGCATAATAATTCCACGTCAACAAAGATTGCAACAAAATAAACACCAAATAGAAAAATGGATAAATTCAGTACTGATATTTATTATTTGTGTTATGTCATTTGGTCATGTCTATTTTCTTTTTTTTAATTTAATTTAATTTAATTTTGTTTTACTTTAAGTTCTGCGATACACAATGGCTGAAAATTTTTGCAATCCATCTGACAAAGGTCTAATATCCAGAGTCTACAAGGAGCTTAAACAAATTAACAAGAAAACAAACAACCCCATTAAAAAGTGGCCAAAAAACATGAACAGCCACTTCTCAAAAGAAGACATACATGAGACCAAAAAACATATGAGAAGAAGCTCAACATCAGTGATTATTAAAGAAATGCAAATTAAAACCACAATGAGACACCATGTCATGCCTGTGGAAATGGCTATTATTAAAAAGTCAGAATACAACAGATGCTGCAAGGTTGCAGAGAAAAGGAATGCTTTTACACTGTTGGTGGGAGTGTAAATTAGTTCAACCATTGTGGAAGACAGTGTGGCAATTTCTCAAAGACCTAGAGGCAGAAATACCATTTGACACAGCAATCCCATTACTGGGTATATACCCAAAGGAATATAAATCACTCTATTATAAATATACATGCACATGTATGTTCATTACAGCGCTGTTCACAATAGCAAAGACATAGACTCAACTCAAATGCTCATCAATGATAGACTAGATAAAGAAAATGTGGTACATATACACCATGGAATATTATGCAGCCATAAAAAGGAATGAGATCATTCCATTTGCAGGGACATGGATGAAGCTGGAAGCCATTATCCTTAGCAAACTAATGCTGGAACAGAAAACCAAACACTTCATGTTCTCACTTATAAATGAGAGCTGAATGATGAGAACACATGGACACATTGGGGGAAATAATACACACTGGGGCCTGTAGGATAGGCAGTGTCAGGGGAGGGAGAGCATCAAGAATAGCTAATGGATGCTGGGCTTAATACCTAGGTGATGGGATGATCTGTGCAGCAAACACCATGGCACATGTTTACCTATGTAACAAACTTGCACACCCTGCACATGTACCCCGGAACTTAAAATAAAATAACAACAACCGCAAAAAGAAAATTACATTAGGAAGAAAATAAGGAAAACAGAATTAGGTTTTCTTTTCATGTAATGTTTTACATTACATTAAGGTATAAAATGCTTGTATGCCAAATGATTTAGAGTTCACTGAAATATTATAAATCCTTTTAACTCATGGTCACTAACAAATAAACATATATCTTTTCATGGCTTAAGGTAGGAATTTTGACAAAATTGAAGGAAGAACATCAGTTCTTCTCAGCCCTTGCTTTTGAAAACAGTTTTGACCCAATTTTCTCTTATATTTCTTGGTTAACACAAATGAAACACTGTGCTTATTTCTATTTGAGGTGTTGTTACAATTTTTTGGTCATGGATCTTTAGTTTTCCTCCTTAAAATAACAGAATTTCAGAAAACCATCAGTGACTAACATTCTAATCCAGTTATGGAAATAGGACATGACCCAGAATGGCGATTATTAAAAAATTGAGAAACAATAGATGTGGGCGAGGCTGTGGAGAAATAGGAATGCTTTTACACTGTGGTTGCGAGTGTAAATTAGTTCAACCACTGTGGAAGACAGTGTGGCAATTTCTCAAGGATATAGAACCAGAAATAACATTTGACCCAGCAATCCCGTTACTGGGTATACACTCAAAGGAATATAAATCATTCTGTTATAAAGACACAAGCACATGTATGTTTATTGCAGCACTGTTTACAGTAGCAAAGACTTGGAACCAAATGCCCATCAATGATAGACTGGATAATGAAAATGCGATACATATACACCATGGAATACTGTGCAGCCATACAAAAAGAATGAGATCATGTCCTTTGCAGGGACATGGATGAAGCTGGAAGCCATCAATCTCAGCTAACTAACCCAGGAACAGAATACCAGACACTGCATGCTCTCTCTTATAAGTGGGAGTTCAACAATGAGAACACATGGACACAGAGAGGGGAGCAATACACACAGGGGCCTGTTGGGTGGTTGGGGGTGCAAGGGGAGGGAGAGCATTAGGACAAATAGCTAATGCATCTGGGGCTTAACACCTATATGACGGGTTGATGGGTGCAGCAAACCACCATGGCACATGTATACGTATGTAACAAACCTGCACATTCTGCACATGTATCGCAGAACTTAAAGTAAAACAAAATAAAAGGATGCCCTCTCTCACCACAAACAAATGAAAAAACATTATTAGTCACTTTGGACAGTATGACCATTTTCACAATATTGATTCTTCCTATCCATGAGCATGGAATGTTTTTTCATTTGTTTGTGTCCTCTCTGATTTATTTGAGCAGTGGTTTGTAGTTCTCCCTAAAGAGGTACTTCACTTCCCTTATTAGCTGTATTCCTAGGTATTTTATCCCTTTTGCAGCAATTGTGAATGGAATGGGAGTTCATTCAGGATTTGGCTCTCTGCTAGCCTGTTGTTGGTGTATAGGAATGCTGGCAATTTTTGCACATTGATTTTGTATCCTGAGACTTTACTGAAGTTGCTTATCAGCTTAAGAAGACTTTGGGCTGAAACAATGGGATTTTCTAGACATAGAATCATGTCATCTGTGAACAAAGATAATTTGATTTTCTGTCTTCCTATTTGATAACCTTTGCCAGAACTTTCAATACTGTGGTAAATAGGAGTGGTGAGAGAGGGCATCCTTGTCTTGCGCCAGTTTTCAAGGGGAATGCTTCTAGCTTTTGCTCATTCAGTATGAAATTGGCTATGGGTTTGTCATATATGGCTCTTATTATTTTCAGGTATGTTCCATCAATCCTTAGTTTATTGAGAGTTTTTAATATGAAGGGATGTTGAATTTTCTGCATCTACTGAGATAATCACGTGGTCTTTCTTCTTTTTTAGTTCTGTTTAATGTGATAATTCACATTTATGGATTTGCATATGTTGAACCAATTTTGCATCCTGGGGATGAAGCCAACTTGATCATGGTGAATAAGCTTTTTGATGTGCTACTGGATTCAGTTTGCCAGTGTTTTATTGAGGATTTTTGCATCGATGTTCATCGAGGATATTGGTCAGAAGTTTTCTTTTTGTTGTTGTTGTATCTCTAACAGGTTTTGGTATCAGGATGATGCTGGCCTCATAGAATGAGTTAGGGAGGAGTTCCATCTTTTTTATTTTTTTTGGAATAGTTTTAGTAGGAAAGGTATCAGTTCTTCATACCTCTGGTGGAATGCAGCTGTGAATCTGTTTGGCCCTGGGCCTTTTTTTCATTGTTAGGTTATTTACTGCTGCCTCAATTTCAGAATGAATATTGGTCTATTCAGGGATTCAATTACTTTCTGGTTCAATCTTGGGTGGGTGTATGTCTCCAATAGTTTATCCATTTGTTCTAGATTATCTAGTTTATATGTATAGAGGTGTTTGTAGTATTCTGTGATGGTTGTTTGTATTTCTGTGTGGTCAGTGGTAATATCCTCCTTACCATTTCTGATAGTGTTTATTTGATTCTTCTCTCTTTTCTTCTTTATTACTCTAACCAGAGGTCTATTTTATTAATTTTTTTCAAAAAACAACCTCCTGGATTTGTGGATTTTTTGAAGGGTTTTTCGTTTCTCTATCCCCTTCAGTTCAGCTCTGATCTTGGTTATTTCTTGTCTCCTGCTAGCCTTGGGGTTTGTTTGTTCTTGGTTATCTAGTTCTTTTCATTGAGATGTTAGGTTCTTAACTTGACATCTTTATAGCTTTTTGATGTGGGAAATTAGTGCTATAAATTTCCCTCTTAACACTGCTTTAGCTGCATTCCAGAGATTCTGGTACATTGTCTCTTTGTTCTCATTAGTTTCAAAGAACGTCTTTATTTCTGCCTTAATTTCATTATTTACCCAAGTGTCAATCAGGAGCAGGTTGTTCAATTCTCATGTAGTTGTGTGGTTTTGAGTGAATTCCTTAATCTTGAGTTCTAATTTGATTATGCTGTGGTTTGAGAGACTGTTTGTTATAATTTCAGTTCTTTTGTGTTTGCTAAGAAGTGTTTTACTTCCAATTATGTGATCACTTTTACAGTAAATGGCAATGAGAAGAATGTATATTCTGTTGTTTTTTGGGGAAAAGTTCTGTAGATATCTATCAGGTCCTCTTGATCCAGAGCTGAGTTTAGGTCCTGTATAGCTTTGTTAATTTTCTGTCTTGATGATCTATCTAATGTTGACAGTGGGGTGTTAAAGTCTCCCACTATTATTGTTTGGGAGTCTAAGTCTTTTTGTGGGCCTCTAAGAACTTTCTTTATGAATGTGAGTGCTCCTCTATTGCATGCATACATATTTAAGATAGTTTGCTCTTCTTGTTGAATTGAACCCTTTACCATTATGTAATGCCTTTCTTTGTCTTTGTTGATCTTTGTTGGTTTAAAGTCTGTTTTGTCAGAAACTAGGATTGCAACCCCTGCTTTTTTCTGTTTTCCATTTTCTTGGTAAATTTTCCTCCATCCCCTTATTTTGAGTCTATGTGCGTCTTTGCACGTGCATGGGTCTCCTGAAGACAGCACACCAGTGAGTCTTGGCTCTTTATCCAGCTTGCCATTCTGTGTCTTTTAATTGGGGTCATTTAGCCCATTTATGTTTAAGGTTAGTATTGTTATGTATGAATTCTTGTCATCATGATGCTTGCTGGTTATTTTGCAGAGTTATTTATGTGGTTGCTTCATATTGTCACTTATCTGTGTACTTCAGTGTGTTTTTGTAGTGGCTGGTAAGTTTTTTATTTCCATATTTAGTGCTTCCTTCAGGAGCTCTTGCAAGGCAGGACAGGTGGTGACACATTCCCTCAGCATTTACTTGTCTGAAAGGGTCTTATGTCTCCTTCACTTATGAAGCTTAGTTTGGCCAGATATGAAATTCTGGGTTGGAAATTCTTTTTTTTAAGAATGTTGAATTTTGGCCCCCAATCTCTTCTGGCTTGTAGGGTTTCCACTGAGAGGTCCGCTGTTGGTCTGACAGGATTCCCTTTGTATGTAACCTGGCCTTTCTCTCTGGCTTCCCTTAACATTTTTTTCTTTCGCTTCAACCTTGGAGAATCTGATAATTATGTGTCTTTGGGTTGATACTCTCATGAAGTATCTTACTGGGGTTCTCTGCATTTCCTGAATGTGAATGTTCAAATTCAAATTCAGAAAGTTCTCCTGGATGATATCCTGAAGTATGTTTTCTGACTTGGTTCCATTCCTCCCTTCTCATGGAGTATCTTACTGGGGTTCTCTGCATTTCCTGAATTTGAATGTTCAAATTCAAATCCAGGAAGTTCTCCTGAATGACATCCTGAAGTATGTTTTGTGACTTGGTTCCATTTTCCATCTTTTTCAGGTACCCCAATAAGCTGTAGTTCAGTCTCTTTACGTAATCCCATATTTCTCAGAGGTTTTGTTCATTTAATTTTATTCTTTTTTCTTTATTCTTGTCTGCCTCTTTTATTTCAGAAAGACAGCCTTCAAGCTCTGAGATTCTTACCCCAACTTGGTCTATTCTGCTATTGATACTTGTGATTGCATTGTGAAGGTCTTGTGTTGTTTTTTTCAGCTCCATCAGGTATTTATGTTCCTCTCTAAATAGGCTATTCTGGCTATCAGCTCCTGTATTATTTTATCATGATTCTTAGCTTCTTCACATTGAGTTACAACTGCTCCTCTAGCTCAGCAAAGTTTGTTCTTCTGAAGTCTACTTCTGTAGCCTACTTCTGTCAATTCAGCCATATCAGCCTCAGCCCAGTTCTGTGCCCTTGCTGGAGAGGTGTTGTGGTCATTTGGAGGAGAAGAGGCTTGGGCTTTTAGAGTCTTCAATGTTTTTGCGTTGATTCTTTCTCATCTTCATGGGTTTATCTACCTTTGATTTTTGAGGTTGCTGACCATTGAATGGGGTTTTTGTAGGGTCTTTTTTGTTGATGTTGATGTTGTTGTTGTTGTTTTCTGTTTGTTTGTTTTTAACAGTCAGGCCACTCTTCTGCAGGGCTGCTGTGATTTGCTGGGGTTCTGCTCCAGACCCTAGTTGCCTCAGTTTTTCCCATACCTAGAGATATCACCAGTGAAGGCTGCAAAATGCAGACGACAGCCTGCTCCTTCCTCTGGAAGCTCCATCCCAACACAGTAGTGACTTGCTGCTGGCTCAAATGGTTCTGTAGGAGGTAGCTGGAGACCCCTGTTGGGAGGTCTCACCCAGTCAGGAGGAAGAGGATCAGGGACTCAGTTAAAGAAGCAGTCTGGCTGCTTTTTGGTAGAGCAAGTGTGCTGCACTGGGGGGGGCCCTTCCTTGTCTGAATTGTTTGTATTGTCCAAAGCCAGCAGGCTGGAATGGCTGAATTGACACTAACCTCAGAGATGGCAGCTGCCCCTCCCCCTGGGAGCTTTGTCCCAGGAAGTGATCAGAGCTCTGTCTGTAGAACCCTAGCTGGAGTGGTTGAATCCCCTGCAGGGAAATCCTGCCCATTGAGGAGGAATGAATCAGGGTCCTGCTTAAAGAAGCAGTCTGGCCATGATCTGGCAAGGCTGCTTTGCTGCACTGAGGGGTGCCCTTCCTTGTCCAAAACATTTGTATTCTCCAAAGCTGGCAGGCTAGAATGACTGAATCTACTAAACTCGAGAGATGGTACCTGTCCCTCCCCCAAGAACTCAGTCCTGACTCAGGCAGACTCTAGCCTGTTGCCTTTGGCTGGCTAGAATTCCAAGCCAGTGGATCTTAACTTGCGAGGTGCCGTGGAAGTGGAGCCTGCAGAATGAGGCTGCTTGGATCCCTGGATTCAGCCCCCTTTCTAGGGATATGTAGGGATGGATCTTGCCGCAGGTCCTGGGGCCAGAGTATGTAAAACTCCTGGGTCTCTGTGTGTGCCTGAGCGGCTGCTCTTCAGAGACCCCACACAGCTCTGTGTATTGGACCCAAGGCCCTGGTGTCATGGGCTCAAGAGGGGATCTGATGCATAGGTTGCAAAGCTTCATGAGAGAAGCATGGTTTCCTGGGCAGGGTCGCACAGTCACTCACCACTTCCCTTAAGTGGGGTGGGGGTTCCCTTGGCTCTGTGCTGCTCCTGGATGGGCCATCACCCCACCCTGCTTTTTCTTCATTCTTTGTGGGTTGAATTATTTGCCTATTCAGTCCCAATGTAAGAACGTGGATATTTCAGTTAAAGGTGCTGAATTCACTTACTCCTTTCATTCCTCTCTGTGAGTGCTGTGGACTGCAGTTGCTTCTAATCAGCCATCTTGCCCCCTCCAACATTTTCATTAGATTACTTAATTTTACTACTCTGTTGATGAGCAGTAATTGAGTTCCACTTCTACCATTTCTAAAATCCCATTCAGATCTTGTTAAAATTTTTCTAAACATTACTGATGTTTTGTTGGTGTAGGTATGTATTTGAAAGACTTACAAACATACTTGTTCATTGCATAGTAATCTAAAATTTGTTTTCAATACATAAACCTAAGGAGGTTGTGTCTATATTTTTCTAAGATAAAATATCAGATATTTCCAATAATTGGAAGGCTAATAATGATTGAACCCCAGTTCTGTCTCATATGTTAGATATTTCTTGCCTTGTATCTCTTTAGTTTATTTATTTATTTATTTATTTATATTTTATTATTATTATACTTTAAGTTTTAGGGTACATGTGCACAATGTGCAGGTTAGTTACATATGTATACATGTGCCATGCTGGTGTGCTGCACCCATTAACTCATCATTTAGCATTAGGTATATCTTCTAATGCTATCCCTCCCCCATACCCCCACCCCACAACAGTCCCCAGAGTGTGTTGTTCCCCTTCCTGTGTCCATGTGTTCTCATTGTTCAATTCCCACCTATGAGTGAGAACATGTGGTGTTTGGTTTTTTGTCCTTGTGATAGTTTACTGAGAATGATGATTTCCAGTTTCATCCATGTCCCTACAAAGGACATGAACTCATCATTTTTTATGGCTGCATAGTATTCCATGGTGTATAACTGCCACATTTTCTTAATCCAGTCTATCATTGTTGGACATTTGGGTTGGTTCCAAGTCTTTACTATTGTGAATAGTGCCACAATAAACATACATGTGCATGTGTCTTTATAGCAGCATGATTTATAGTCCTTTGTGTATATACCCAGTAATGGGATGGCTGGGTCAAAAACTATTTCTAGTTCTAGATCCCTGAGGAATCGCCACACTGACTTCCACAATGGTTGAACTAGTTTACAGTCCCACCAACAGTGTAAAAGTGTTCCTATTTCTCCACATCCTCTCCAGCACCTGTTATTTCCTGACTTTTTAATGATTGCCATTCTAACTGGTGTGAGATGGTATATCATTGTGGTTTTGATTTGCATTTCTCTGATGGCCAGTGATGGTGAGCACTTTTTCATGTCTTTTTTGGTTGCATAAATGTCTTCTTTTGAGAAGTGTCTGTTCATGTCCTTCGCCCACTTTTTGATGGGGTTGTTTTTTTCTTGTAAATTTGTTTGAGTTCATTGTAGATTCTGGATATTAGCCCTTTGTCAGATGAGTAGGTTGTGAAAATTTTCTCCCATTTTGTAGGTTGCCTGTTCACTCTGATGGTAATTTCTTTTGCTGTGCAGAAGCTCTTTAGTTTAATTAGATCCCATTTGTCAATTTTGGCTTTTGTTGCCCTTGCTTTTGGTGTTTTAGACATGAAGTCCTTGCCCATGCCTATGTCCTGAATGGTAATGCCTAGGTTTTCTTCTAGGGTTTTTATGGTTTTAGGTCTAACATTTAAGTCTTTAATCCATCTTGAATTAATTTTTGTATAAGGTGTCAGGAAGGGATCCAGTTTCAGCTTTCTACAAATGGCTAGTCAGTTTTCCCAGCGCCATTTATTAAATAGGGAATCCTTTCCCCATTGCTTGTTTTTCTCAGGTTTGTCAAAGATCAGATAGTTGTAGATAAGTGGCGTTATTTGTGAGGGCTCTGTTCTGTTCCATTGATCTATATCTCTGTTTTGGTACCAGTACCATGCTGTTTTGGTTACTGTAGCCTTGTAGTACAGTTTGAAGTCAGGTAGCATGATGCCTCCAGCTTTGTTCTTTTGGCTTAGGATTGACTTGGCAATGCCTTGTATCTCTTACACTGTATCTCTGTCCTATGCTTCTGTCTTCCTTTTCTACTTTCAAGGGGTCATGTTATTATCTGAGAGCCATCTGGTTAACAGAGTTTAATTTCACTATTTTAAGGTCTGTAGCTTTAATTCCATCAGCAAAGATTCTTTTACCATGCAATGTAGCATTATTTGCAGGTTCCAGGGATTAGGACATTAACATCTTTGGCGGGTCATTATTCTGTCTACCACAGGATATTTTATCTTAAAATGGTTTAAATTATTGCATAGGACCTTGGCTATTGTATTCTACTAAACCTACTTTTCCTTATGTTGGACAGAGGCTCAAGAGGAAGATTAATCAGCTATGAAAAAGATGAAGTAGTAAAGTCCATACTTTCTGTGTACCTGAAGGCAACTTTGAATTGTGGTTTTATTGCTTAGAACAGAAAAATAGTTTTTATACATATTTACTTTTGCCGAATATAGACTTCCTGGCCCATACACTCCATTTGCTACTGCAGAATAAGATGATTCTAATTCAAAAAGGATAATGTTGGTTTTAAAAAAGTATAAAATAGAAATGACTGTTTTCACAGTACCATAAATGTAAGCATTGTTATACTAAAAATATTACTGTTATGAGACCAACTCACGCACTTCCAGCCTTAGATAACACGTAGGCCTTCCAGAGTTTCCAGACAATGATGTTTTGAAAAACAATATTGTGGACTGATAAATAACGGCAAATCCTGAAGGAACATCTTTCACTTTGATGGTTGGAATGTCAGGTCTTCCAAAGTTGGATAAGGTTCTAGGGTTATCCTGACTGTTGATTAATTGCCAGAAGAGTAACTGGAGCCGGAGAATTCCATTAGGACCCTGACATTTCATATCAGTCATTATTATTCTATGATTTAGACATATTTTTGAACATTTCAAACAGCATATTTCCTAGACTAAGGAGTCCTCTCCCCAATCCTGTAGACTAAATCCCTGACTATTGACCTAATTATAATATCTTATTAAAACCTAATTATAATATCCCATGTTTAATTCCAAGCAATAAACTTGGACTAAAGGAAACAACTCCAACAATGATGTGGTGGTTGAGATCATTTGAGTGGCAAGTATACAATAGACTCAGGAATTCAGCCTTTGTCTGAGAATCCCCCAAATAACCAGGGCTTAATAGGAGGTAAGATTCGTAGAGGCCTGGGGAACTGTGAGTGGGGAGTAGATTTTAGATCTGGGCATCTGCCGTGGAAGTACCCCGATTTTGGGTCTTTAGTCTTTGTACTATTTCATTTTCTTCATTATTGTCTTACAATTGTGTACTCTCTAGGAAATTAGTCAGAATGCATAAGAATTATTGAACATTTTATATTCACTTACACATCAGAACCACACTTAGATTTCTGTGTAAGGAGAATAGATAGAACTCAGTTAAGAAAAGAGAGTAGGAGAAAAGGAAGGATTCAGGAGAAAGAGCTCACAATAACTGAAACTCTAAGATCTCTAATTGTAAACATTCAGGGCACGATGGAACTGCAACTATGAAACTGAACTCATAAACAAACTCTGAGTTATAGAAATGAAGAGCATGAACAGTGAATATGAGTAAATGGGAGTCAAATGGGGGAGAGGTCGCTAAGAGCCAGAGGAAATCTTCCCAACCTGATCAAGCAGCTTAAAGTTCAGAGATTTTCTTCACCCTGACAATAACAACTCTCAGAATGAGAAACACTGCTTTAATTCATAATTTCAATGACACAGGAAGTCATTATTTAAATTTTCTTGTAGGGTCAAGGATTCAGAGGTTGACTTGAAACTACAAAGCATGTTAAACTCCTTTTGCAGGGTTAAAGCCCTCTATATCTACATATGTTATACCATATATATTGACTACACGGATACAATTTGTATGTAATTCCATTCCCAAAAGTCATGGAGGAGGCAATGCATCTTATACTCAATTGCCACCAAAGAGCACAAGAATGAATGCTTAAGTCCAGACACTGATACATCCCCCTAAATTTTCAAAGCATGGCTTGTGGTTCCAGCCCCCTGACTCCCATTCCCTGTAATGGAAGTCAGGTGGCAAAACTCTAACGCAAACTCCTTGGAAATCTAGAAGACGGCATAATGATGTTCTTTGTTTTCACTACGGAAACATTTATATGGGACACAGGTTCAACTGTCCATGAAATGATGCACTAATCTCCAGAGTTCACAATGTAATTTGGAGTATATTTTCTTCTCCATGTGCATGCAATTGTGAAGGTAATTGCCACCCTGAAGGTAAAGAATGCCAAGTGTCCCTCACATAACACACAGCTACATTCTGAACTATCTCAGAGCCAGATATTCCCTTTTTGCCTCCAGAAAAAGTCCAGGGAACTAGCTTGCATCTAAACTTTTTGCATGCAGCCTTTCTGGAGAACACCCAGTCTTTCCTTGACAAGGCTTGTTGGTTTTCATAAACTAGTTTGTTCAATAATCAGTTCAATTTCTGGCCTGAATAGCATCATTGATTTAACTCAATAAACCAAAAAACAATTCTCTTGCCTCTCAGATTTATAAATTCTACTTGTATGCCACAGATATTTAAAATTTAAAAATTAAGCCAGCTTAAGAATAAACAGGGTTAGTTTTAGATATGCTGGGGACTTATCAAATGCAATGTCAAGCTTCATGACTGAGATCACAAGTCAGAAAGTCTTCTATTATATTCAGGAAGTAAAATCACTATCTTACTTTGTGGAAAGTACATTTTTAGAAATTAAAATTAAATGTGTAAAAAAGGGGCTATCTTAATTTTCAATAGCTACACCCATGATCTCACTACTTAATTATAGACAATTCTAATACTAATATTAAACAATTTTTAACTGTATGTGAAATCCACTACAATTTAACTGTCCTATACAACCTAGCACTCAGGGACACACAGTTTGATATCTATTTCATGCCTGATTTTTCTCTTCTGAACTTGACAAAGCACTTCTCAAGGATGTAACAGAAGTATAAGACAAACTTTTCTTCCCTCATAGCACCTGACACAGAGTAGGGTACATTACAGGAGCTCAATAAATGTTTGTGCCTGTATTGATTGATTGCTAGCATTCTGCTTTGTGATTCCTTTTAATATTTCAGATGCAGAAAGGTCATTATCATAATCATTGTAAACGTCATTTATCTGTTTATGACACTGTTCTGGGTGCTACATAAAATTTAGCAGTGAGATCTCAAAACTATAGGAATAACTGAATGGACATTGACAGACACACTCATCAGGAAAGATGGCACATGGGGTTAGAGTTTGGAGTGATTCACCTAAACATTTAAAATTACATTCATTGAATTTATATAATCTACTACTTCTTTCCAAAAATAATTTCAAGCATCTTACAGCAAAAAAATGATAAGGTTATAATATAAAATAGGATACCTGGACTAATGTAAGAAACCAGTAGAATGATAAGAGAGCGAAACTGAATGAAGAGAAAGTGAATTTCCCTGCAGTTCTGGCAAGGAGAGAACTACCCTAGGCCAGAGTTTCTCAACTCTGATGCTGTACCATTGACATTTTGGGCTGGACAATTTCCTACTGTGGCAGGCTGCCCTAGTGCATTGTAGGATGTTTTCGAGCAGCATCCCTGGACTCTAACCACTAGATGCCAGTAGTGCCTCCCTTCCTCCCCTCCTGTTGTGATGACCAATAATGCCTCCAGATCTTTCCCCTCATTTGAGAATCACTGCCTGTCTCATTTCATTTAGGCTGCTATAACAAAATATCTTAAACTGGGTAATTTATAAAAAACAGATCTATTGCTCACAGTTCTGGAGGTGAAGAATTTCAAGATCAAAGTGCCAGCAGATTTGGTGTCTGGTGAGGACCTGTTCCCCAAAGATTGCACCTTCTGTGTCTTCACCTGGTGGAAGGAATGGAAGGGGCAAGGCCACTCCCTTCAACCTCTTTCATAAGGGCACTGATCTCATTCATGAGAGCAGAGCCCTCTTGACTTAATGACTTCCCTAACAGCCCCATCTCTTAATACCATCACCACTGGGGTTAGGTTTCAGCATACGAATTTTGGGAGAACACCAACATTCAGGCCATAGCATTCTGCCCCTGCCCCCTCCAATTAATGCTTTTTGCACATACAAAATATATTCGCTCCATCCCAATAGCCCCAAAGTCTTAACTTGTTCTAGCAAGCTGTGTTCTTGCATGCTGTGTGTCTGCAGAGTTAGTACCACATGAATGCTGCAATGATTTATTTCTTGTACTTTTTGGAAAGGTGGCCTGAGCCACACCTAAACCTGTTTGAGCCACAGCTGGGGCAGTCAAGGAGCATTACACTGGAATCCAAGGAGCAGAACCTTGCAATTGTTCTACCTCCAAGGCCTTGGCATTCTGGGCCTGTCTGGGTGGGGCAGCCACACAGATCTTGGAAATGCCTTTAGAATTCTTCCTCCATCATCTTGATAAATAGCATCTGACTTCCTTCTAGCCATACTAATTTCATTATCAAGCATTTGCTTGGCCAAACACAGGGTATTCTCTCTTGAACACTGTTTTATATTAATTACAACATGGTCAGGTTGAGAATTGTCCAAATCTTTAAGTTCTGTTTCATTTTAGATTAAGTTCATTTTTAATTTGTTTTTCTCTTCTCGCATTTTGCTATAAGTAGTCAAGAGAAGCCATGCTGCACCCTCGACACTTTGCATAGAGATTTCTTCCACCAAATCTAGTTTATTACTCAGAAGTCTGCCTTCCACAAAACACTAGATCATTAACACAGTGCAGCCAAGTTTTCTGCCACTTTTATAACAAGGATTATCTTTCCTCTAGTTTTCTCTGTTTCCTCTGAATACTGTTCCTCATTTCCTTCTAAGATGTCAAAAGAATGGCCTTTACCATCCATATATCTACCAACATTCTAATTATAACCACTTAGGTAATCTCTAAGAAGATTAAGGCATTCTCTGCAGCCCTGCTTTCTTTCTGAGACCTCACCAAAATTATCCTTAAGGTTATTTTTTATGGCAATATAGGCTTTTCCTAGCCTGCTCCTCCAAACTCTTCTAGCTCTTGCCAATTACCCATATCTAAAGCTGCTTCCACTTTTTTAGGTATTTGTTACAGCAGCACCCCAGTTCTCAATACCAATTTCTATCTCAGTCTGTTTGGGATGCTATAAGAAAATACCTTAGACTGGGTAATTTATAAACAACAGAAATTTATTGCTCACAGTTCTGGAGTCTGGGAAGTCCAAGATCAAGGCACCAGTAGATTTGATGTCTTTAGTAGAACCTATTCTTCATAGATGGCACCTTCTGTGTCCTTACGTTATGGAAAGGAAAGAAGAGGGAAGGAAGCTCCTTTCAACTTGTTTTATAAGGACACTCATCCCTTTCATGAAGGTGGAGCCTTCATGATTTAATCACTTTCCAAAAGGCCCTTTTAGTATGATCACCTTGGGGGTTAGGTTTCAACATATTAATTTTAAAGGTAAATCAATATTTAGACCATAATGTTACCCTAGGTGATCTAGCTTTCATTTTAAGGATGGAGAAAGTTCAACTCAGTTCTTGGGGTTTGGGGTACATGAGAGAGACACAATTATTTTGTGACATTTATTTTTGAAACAAACTTTAATAAAACATGAACAATTTTAATTGATAATAATAATAGCTAATATTTATTGAGCACTAATTATGAGCCAGCTGCTGAAGTAGGTACTATACACACATGATCTCATTTACTCCTGCATATTGATCTCAGTTATTCCTGGAGTAGTATTGTGATCCTTACTTTATAGCTAAATAAACTCTGACTTAGATTAAGCAGTTTACCCAAGGTCATACAGTAAATGGCAGCTTTGGGATTCAAACCCAAGCAATGTGAGATTAGAGCCACCACTCTGAGTTATCAACAACAGCCTTATGGAAATATTACATTGCTGATTTTTGCATGGCTCTCCTGTAAAAGTAGAAGATATGAAATTGAAGCACAAACTAGGAAAGGCAATTAACAACTCCTCAATAGGCTATTGAAAGCAGTCCCCAGTCTACAGAAGTAACTGAGTGACAGCTGTCCATACTGTATGTTGGTCATAATTGCAGATGATGCTATGTCAGAGTAACAGCAAGGAGGCTGCCTAAATTTCCATGTCTTTGTCTACTTGTCAAAACTTGAGTATTGACGGGACTTTTCATTTGAAGTATCCTAGGATTTAACTATCTTTTTTTTCCCATACATTTCAATAAAATGTTGTATCACACTGTGGAGTGAGAGGAAATCTGAAAAAGAGCTCAGAATTAAACAGATCCAGGTTGAATCATGGTACTAAAACCTACAGCTATGTAACTTTAAAAAACTATTTGACCTCTCTGTTATCTGTAAATGGGTGTATGACTATATATAGAGTTATGCCTCACTTAACAACAGTGATATGTTTTGATTTCATCATTGTGCAAACATCATGAGTTTACTTACACAAACCTGCCTACACGGTAGTAGCTTACTACACTTCTAGGCTATGTGATATAGCCTATTGCTCCTAGTCTACAAACCTGTACAACATGTTACAGTACTGAATATTATGGACAACTATAACACAATAGTAAGTATTTGTGTAACTAAACATAGAAAAGATACAGTAAAAATATAGCATAAAATATTTAAAAAATGGTACATCTATATGTGGCACTTACCATGAATGGAGCTTGCAAGACTAAAAATTACTCTGGGTGAGTTGGTGAGCGAGCAATGAGAGAATGTGAAGGCCTAGGATATAATTGTACACTACCATAGACTTAAAAAACACCATGCAGTTGGATTAAATTTACAAAAATTCTTTCTTCAATAGTAAATTAACTTTCCTTGTTAGGATACTGGTAAGTAAAAAAAAAATGTTAGCCTTAGCTTACTAATTAACCTTAACTTACGAATAAAAGTAATTCTTTTACTTTATAAACTTTTTAATAGTTTTTAACTTTTTTCTCTTTTATAACAACACAGTTCAAAACAAACACATTGCACAGCTGTACACAAATATTTTCTTTCTTTATATGTGTTCTATAAGCTTTTTTCCATTTAAAAATTTATTTTTACTCTTTAAAGTATTTTTGTTGACACTGCAAACACACACATTAGCCTAAGCCTAAACAGAGTCAAAATAATCAACATCACTGTCTTCCACCACCACATCTTGTCCCACTATAAGGTCTTTAGGGACAATAACATACATGAAGCTGTCATCTCCTATGAGAACACTACCTTTTTCTGGAACATCTCCTGAGGGACCTGCCTGAGGCTATTTTATAGTTCACTTTTCAAAATAAGTTACAAGGAGTACACTCTAAAATAATGATAAAAGTATAATATAGTATTAACACACACATAAACCAGTAACATAGTTGTTTACTATCACTATCAAGTATTACATACTGCACATAATTGTATATGCTATACTTTTATTCAACTGGCAGTGCAGTAGGTGTGTTTAAACCAGCATCACCACAAACACATGAGTAATGCATTTTGCCGCAACATTATGGTGACCATTGCTAGGTGATAGGATTTTTTCAGCTCTGCTATAATCTTATGGGACCAGCATCCTATATGTGGTCCATCATTGACTGAAACATTGTTATGAGATACATCACTTTATATATTTTCAGAAATGTCATAAGAATTATAAACATATAAATATAAATATTTAGTAAATATAAACATTTAATAAATAAAATTTATTAATTTTTGTATAATTTTAAAATATTTAAGAAATACAATTATTTGCTATATTTGTTTTGGGAAATTTGTGGAACTTAATATAATGAGAAGAGTAGTAGTGATAATAGTGGCAAATTCCAGTGCCATTTTTTCCCAGGAAAACATATCTTGACAAATACTCTACTTCTGCAGGTGGAAAAAAGCCTTTGGTTTTTGTTGACTTATCAAATATCAGCTCTGGTAGCAAATTTCTACTCTACTATTTCTACTATTTCCAGCTCTGGCAGAAATTTCTAGTTCAAAAGAGCTAAACTACTTTATCAGATCATAAACTCTTTGTGATCCCTGCCATTGACCCACAAGAATCACTTTCACTCTTTTCTTTCTTATTAGGCTATTAACAGAATCAAACTATGACTCAAAGATTAGAAATATTTATGCCGACTTGCTGAATACCAAATAAATGTCTAATTTTTGACTGATGGGTAATTAATTTCCCTCCTTTGTTATTAATTTTCTGTAGTTTAGTGGATTATGAAACGCATGCAAAGGATGTTACAAAGCTCTCAGTTCTAAACCGAGTCATGCATAAACACATATTTTTGGTAACATATTTTAAAAATATGTATTTCTACTTTGATAATGGTGAAGTGCTTCAGCAAGTATTCTTGAGTACCTACATAGGCCATGCAGGAAATTTAAGATGTATAAAATTCAATTTAGCTGCTGTCAACAAACCTATAATTGCTAGTATAAACAAGACACATGTAGACAGCCTTGGAATGTGCTATAGGAATTCAGAAAAGGAGGAGCAAGAATAAACTGGAGACATTGTGGGAGGCAGAGATAGTAATACACATCCCTTTTTAAAAAATGTAAACCATATATATGACATATATATGCACAGAGATATATACACATAAATGTATACCAATACCATATTTCTACCACACAGACGCACACTCAAATTTGTATATATTTTGTAGTTCTTTATTTTATAAAAATGAGATTATTCTGTATTTTTTGTGGGCATATTTATATACCAGTGTGTGCAGGTCTTTTTCATTATTTCAAAAAGTTAAATGATATCATACAATATGGATGTTCCATAATTCAAACATTTTCCTATTTATGCTCATTTAAGTGGGTTTTCACATTTCTTTTTCCATGAAAACTGCTATAAGGAACATTCTTGCTTTCCTATGCAAGCGATTCTGTAGGCTATAGTTCTAAAATGGAATCCCTGGATCAAATGGCATGCATATTTAAAAAGCATTATTGGCTTGACCAAATTAGCTTCCAGTAAGTTGCTGCCATTTGCAGTCCTATGTAAATAGAGCTCTTTCCTCCATACCTGCATAGTATCAGTCTCTTTTATTTTTGCTAATCTAATAGGTGAAAAATGCGATATCTGCTCTAAAGAGTGAGATTTTAAAACTTTGAATGACAAGTAAGAAACTGAATCCAGGAAAATTCCTTTAGGAAACTATTATTCTAATATGACAAAGTTAATCAAGAAAATGAAGAGATAGGCTGTTTTAAAGCAGGGTATTCACACCACAAAATAGAATTGATATGGGCTAGGGATAGGTGTGTAAGAGGATGACATGCCCATGAAAATAAAGCACAAAACCTGCCAATATTTGAATACAAAGGCATTCTTAAAAATTTATCTCCCTGAAAAAGTGATTTATAGGTCTGTCTTCTAATTTTGCCCATCCCCTTAGGGCTTTTCCTATTCTTATTCTTACTTTTACCTTCATACTTTTTCTCCAGGAGTATCCTTTATCCTTAACCCCAAGATATATGAAAATAGAATTATATTCCGTTTGGAGTAATAGAAACAGGACAGCTGAGTAACAATGCAGGTCTGAGTTACAGAGATAGTGGTGGGAATGAAGAGGAGAGGATGGATACTAGAAGGCACTGAGGATGTATATTCAAAAGACTTGTCATCTATTGAGTGTGTACTGTGAAAGCAAATTATGCTTTAGGAAGAGCTGCCAGCCTACGGTGACTAGAACAGTCTTGCTGAGATTGAGAACACAATAGGAGGAAAAAGTCTGTGGAGGAAGATATTCAACTTGAGACATGTTCAGTTTGAGGTGCTGTGGATGCTGGGACATTCACAGGAGATATATTGAAAATTCTGAGCTACATTTCAGGAAATCAATTACATTGAGTAATATTCGAAGTTATTTGCCTGGATATAGACAACGACAAGAAGAAAAGAGGGCCAAGGTGAAAGCATTTGGAAGTATCTACCATTAACGGGTAGGCTGAGAAGGAAAAGCTACAGCATAGTGAGAAATATTGGTAAGGTGGTGGGAACTCCAGGAGAACTTGGAAAATGAATTCTTTCTGAATCCAAAATATGAGAAAATTTTAAGAAGAAGCCATTTTTTTTTTTTTTTTTTTAAACTGCAGGCCGAGTGCGGTGGCTCACGCCTGTAATCCCAGCACTTTGGGATGCCGAGGTGGGTGGATCACGAGGTCAAGAGATCGAGACTATCCTGGCCAACATGGTGAAACACTGACTCTAGTAAAAATACAAAAATTAGCTCGCTTGGTGGCGGGCACCTGTAGTCCTAGCTACTTGGGAGGCTGAAGCAGGAGAATTGCTTGAACCAGGGAGGCGGAGGTTGCAGTGAGCTGAGATCATGCCACTGCACTCAAGCCTGGTGACAGAGATTTTGTAAAATGAGAAAGTAAGGATGTCATTGGAGTCTTCTGAAAGAATGGTGTTCAAGGAGAATAATGTAGAATGCAAATTGCAAGAAATCAAGGGAGTAGCTTGGGAAAATAATTCTTTTTAAAAGTTTAGCAGTAAAGAAGAAAAAATACAATTAATACTTCTATAAATAATGCAAAACTATTATATCTAGTTTGATCATTTCAAGGAAATAAATATAATTCTGTGAGGTCAGTAATGTTTTAATGAATTACATTATGTTTTTGCCCTTTCTTTTTTAGAACTCAGGGGCAGAAGGTTGAGTATAGTACTTAAAGCATTTCTCTGGTATGATATTATTTATTACCTTATTCTGTTTTCATTATCCCTGACCGTAATACTTATACCTTTCACTACTCCCTAACACTATTTCAATGACCCCCACAAAAATGCTTCTTAAATGTCTCTGAATATGTATATACATTTAAAAATATACAATGGGCTTTTGTCTATATATCTGTGAGTTACATAAATATTATATTATCAGTATTGTTTTTTTATTTTTGTTATTCTTTTTCACTTTAATTTTAGAATCTCTTCTTAGTGAAAAAAAAATCCCTTGTTTATTCCTTCTAACTATTGCAAAGTATTTCATATGATGTGCCCTCCATATCTACTTTCAATTCTATGATGGATATACAGCTTGCTTCTAACTTTTCACCATCACAAAGTTCATGGCAATGAACATTTTACATCTCTCCACTCATGAGCTTACACATGAATTTCTTTGGATTTTATGTCTGGGGATGGGGTGGCTAGGCCACTGGGTATTTGAGTACTTCATTTTGCAAGCAGTTACCATATTATTCTCCAGAATGGCTGCACTAGTCTAGACTCCCAACAACATGAGGGTACTTGTTTGCCCACATCTTTAATAAAACTTACCATTCTCTGACTTTGTGGTATTTGTCAGCTGATAGGTATGAAGAGTTATGTTATTGTTTTACTTCATTTTACATTGTTCATCTAACTGGTGAGAAATTGCTTTGAAATCTGTTAGTCCTTAATATTTCATCTTCTCTGATTGTCTATTAATTTTGTTGGTCTGTTTTTTAATTGAATTTTCTATCTTTTTATTGTTGCCTGGAGGAATTCCTCAATATACTAAACTGTAGTCTTTATTTTTAACTTTTATTTTAGAATACTTTTTCATTTACAGTTCAAAGAATTTCAATATATACTCATCTCACTTTCGCTAATATTAATATATTACATTAGTTAAAAAACAGGAAATTATTAGATATTAAAAAATAGCTTTATTGAGATATAATTCATATACCATACAATCAATACATTAAAAATGTACATTATTAGTATATTAAATTATTAGTATATTTGCAGAGTTGTACAATCATAATCAATTTTAGAATAATTTCATCATTACAGAAAGAAAACCCATACTCATTGGCATCATTCCACATTTCCACTCAACAATGTTATAGCCATAAGCAATCACTATTCTATGTTCTGTCTCTATAGATTTGCTTATTCTGAACAGTTAATACAAATAGAATCACAAAACGTGGTTTTTGTGACTGGCTTCTTTCACTTAGTTAATGTTATTGAGGTTCACTCATGTTGTAACATGTATCAATGCTTATTTTTACTAACAAGTGATATTCCATTGTATGGAATTTTGTTAACCCATTCATCAGTTGATGGAAATTTGGGTTGTTTTCCAGTTTTAAGCTATTATGGATAATAGTACTATAAACATTTGTGTACAAGTTTTTATGTAGATGTATGTTCATATTTATTTCGGGTGTGCATTTAGGAGTAGAACTGCTAGATAATACACCAACACAATGTTTAACATTCTAAAAGACTGTTAAATCATTTTTCAAAGCAATTGCATCATTTTACATACCCATCAGCAATATATGAAAGTTCTATTTTTTCCCCATCTTTGACAATGCTTGTTATTATATATATTTTTAAGTATAGCCATCCTATGGATATGACAGCGATATCTCATCATGGTTTTGATTTGCTAGATCATTTCTTTAGAGAAATGTCTATTAAAACTATTTGCCCATTTTATCTTTGATTATTTGTCTTTTTAAGTGTTCTTTATATATTCAATATAAATCTGAATTTGTCAGGGTCTCCAGAGTGACAGAACCAATAGGATAGATAGATAAACAGATTAGATAGACAGATATCAAGAGACAGACAGAGATATATATAGAGAGATGCATGAGAGGTGATTTATTAGGGGAACTGGCTCACTCAACAATGGAGACTGAAAGTCCCATGATAGGCCCTCTGCCAGATGGAGAACCAGGGAAACCAATGGTATAACTTCAGTCTGAGGCTGAAAATCTGAGAATCTGATGGTCTGCTGATGCAAGTCCCAGAGTCCAAAGGCCAGAGAGTCTAGAGTTCTGATGTCCAAGGGCAGAAGAAAGGTGTGCCAACTCCAGAAGACAGAGAGGGAATCCACCTTTCCTCCTCTTTTTTTTTTTTTTTTTTTTTTTTTAAATCCAGGCCCTCAGCCAACTGGATGGTTTCCACATTGACGTGGATCTTTCTTTGTTCACTGATTCAAATGCCAATCTCTTCTGGAAACACCCCCACACATATCCAGAAATAATGGTTTACCAGCTGAGTATCCTTCAGTCCAGCTGAGCTGACACCTGACATTAACTACCACAAAATCCCTTATCAGATACATGATTTGCAAACATTTTATCCCAATCTGCGGGTTTTTTCACTTTCTTGATGGTGTTTTTTGAAGAATAAAAGTTTTTAATTTATGAAGTCTATTTTTCCCTTTTGTCATTTATGTGTTTGGTTTTGTAACTAAGAAGCCATTGTGGAACCCAATGTCATGAAGATGGACTTCAATGTTTTCTTCTAAGTGTTTTATAGTTATAGATCTATGATCATTTTAGGTTAATTTTTTATGTACAGTGTGTATGGATATGAACAAATTTTGTGTATGGGTTTAACTTCATTCATCCTTCTGTCTATGGATACCCAGTTGTCCCAGCACCATTTGTTGAAAAGACCTTCTTCCCCCATTGAATTGTCTTGACTCCTACTTAGTTTTTTAACATTATAAGTATTTTTCCAATCTATTTTCCTGTTAATTTTGTTTATGGTTCAGGACAAATAGCTAATGCATGTGGGGCTTAATACCTAGGTGACAGGTTGTAGGGGCAGGAAACCGTTGTGGCAAACATTTACCTGAGCGTTGCACACATGTAACAAACCTGCACATTCTGCACATGTCTCCCAAAACTTAAAGTAAAATAAAATTAAAAAAGAAATTAAAAACACTAGAAATTATTAGTACATAATAACATTTCACACATAAATTAGATTTATATGTAGTAAGGAAGTTGTAGTAACAGAGCTATGAAGCATGCTTAGTTTCAGGAAAATAGTTTTTCTCAATTAAAAAATTTGTTTATGGTATCTTTACATAAAAATACTTGATAGTGTGTAATCAAAACCATTAATATTCCTCCTTATGATATTAGTTTTCTTAAAAAGTTTTTATCATTTCTAAGGTCACAAAAATATTTTTCTATAATTGTATCAGCTTTATAGTTTTAATTTTCACATTTATGTCTTTAATTTCTCTTCAGTATGCCTCTCTATGGAGTATAAAGTGTATATTCAATAGTATTTTCTCCATATGGCCAGGAAGTTAAGAAAAAACACATCTTTTCAACAGTGGGATACGTGATCTCTCTTGTTCAAATTTATAATCAAAGGCTTGATAAATTTAGAAAGTTGTCTCATGTTAGAATAATACAGCATCTAGGTTTCTCAGGATAAGGTAGATGAACAAACTCTTATAATGGTGCATCATTGATAAAATTTTCTTGTAAAAGACATTTGGCTAAAAGAAATGTTTTAGATCACAGCTAGTTTGGACATTGGTGTTCCTTCTCTTGAATTCGCAAGCAATAGTGAAGTGATTGAAGTAAAATTCACCCAATACTATTAAAGTTATTCCTCAAAGTCCATATTTCATTGCCTACAAAGGATTATGAAGTAGTCCCAGGTCTGATTATAGTTTCTTTTGCCACAGATTTTCCCTGCTATGTATTAAACAGACCACATCGATGTCATGCCACTCACCCACTAAATTAATTATAATCCACAGAAGGAACTTGAAAGGACGCCCAAGTGTCTTTAATGTATTCTTTGGAACCATTATAGTCTGTTTTGTTAAGTCATTAAAAAAAATTAGATAATATATTGTGGTCTAGTCGATGATTTCTTTAGATCTGCCTTAATCTTCTGGATACAGTTGACAATGCTTAAAAATAAAAACTATAACAAATATACAACCTTGAAATCCTTAAAAAGTTAGCAATGAGAAATACTTTCAAGTGACAACTGATTTTGATAGCAGATTTTTTTTGTATCTACTTGTAATTATTTCAAATGTAGATATAATGGCACTTTTAAACAGTGAATTAAAAAAAGAATTCAGTCACTTAAGTTGCTAAATTTTTAAGGCAGAAAAGAATTTTTCAGAAATGTGTAGAAACTAGAACTATGAATACATTTTGCTTAAGAAAAAATGTACTAATTCTAAAATCTCCCAGTGTGATGACCTTAATATACACTCTAATACAAAGCTTTATTTTAGGAAAACATTCTAATGAATATTTTTATTAGAATAAAGAATAACAAAACAGCAGCATGTTTTAACTCCTTAGAGATTTATTCCTATGAATCATTTATTTGAAAAGTCCACAATGAGGTAAGACTTTCCATATAGTGTATATCACTTACTTTTTTCTCTTTGCAACACTTAGATAGTTCCTTTGGAGTAAGTGCTACAAGTTGTTTCATTTACTGTTTTTAAATAATACAATTTTTCAGTTCTGAAGAGTCAGGCCAATGAGAATGTACTCCAGGAGACCTAAGTGAATGATGGTGTATTTATGAGTGAACACTATGAATCTCATAAATCGACAGAGAAATGGAAGATAAATGGGCTTAGAGCTTAAAAATCTAAACTATATGTATAAAGTCAAGGGATCTTGGTAATGAACCCTCACGAACTCTTTCCAAGTGCACATGTCTCAGTTTATCGAGATACTTTGCCTCTCTATAAGAAACTCATTGAAGACAAAATAGAGGCTCTTATTTTATACATATATTGTGTAGCACCTTGAATTTGGCATGAGTTTGAAGTGAATCAGTAAAAAATTTAAAAATAAGCAGTATTAGGAAAAAAGACTAAAAGAAATGAAGGAATGTGAGTGGAAGAATATTAGAGATTTTCAGACTAAAAAAGCAAAAGTTAACTATTGGCCTGATTGAAAACTATAAAGTGTGAATATTGCCATAAAGTTCATGGGCATATTCCCCAAATTTCATATTATTAGGTTTAAGGACATCTCTTGAACTTGAGTTAGAAAAATTTAAGACAATATATGAAAGAACTATTTACACAAAGCAATAAAGATATGGCACACAGTACTCTAGGGAGTCATACTGTTAGTAAATAAAAAATAATTAAAGATTTTAGAAAAGATGCCAGTGGGAAAAAAGTAATCCAGTCATTTTGCCTGCACGATTCTTGGTCCCTCCTTTACTCTGCACAAAGTTGGCATTTATGTGTGACAGTAACAGAAAGAGAGTCTTAGACATGAAGAACTTGACAAGCAAAACACTCAGGTATTTTTCCTAAAATACTACTACAAAAGACAGTTTGAAATAATGGAGGGACATGCAAAAAGAAAAAAAAACCTCAGAAATGGGAGAACTATACTGTTTAAAAAATGTCAATGGATATTAAAACCATGAAACAACAGAATTTAGACTAAATATCTCCTAAAGATTATTATAAAACAAAATGGAAGTCCTAAATACTTATTTAAACTGAAATATAAGATAAAATGTAATAAGGAACCAGATAAAATATATCCCAAATAATGCCAAAAATCACTGCAGAAGAAGGTCGGAGAAAAAAACAAATCATGCCAATGTCTTTAATGTCCTTAAGAGTCAAGAAGGAGAGTTAATACATATTGCTTAACTTTCAAAAATAATGATCAGAAGAAAATAACTTAGAGGTACAATTTAGAAAGTAAAAAGATTGAGGATAAAATCAACAATAACACAATTTGTATAACACACATAAAATAAAGTAAACATTCTTACAACCTCAGAAAGCATTATGACAGATATAATATTATAAATATCAGGTTATTACAGTTAAAAAAAAAAAGGTTAAAAGGTATCCTACCTAAAAGTCTATGAACTGGTCACAGCAGCTCACGTATGTAATCCCAGCACTTTGGGAGGTCAAAGGCGAAAGAATCACTTGTGTCCAGGAGTTCAAGACTAGCCTGGGCAACATAGCAAGGCCTCATCTCCACAAACAAAAAAAAATTAGCCAGGCCTGGTGGCACATGCCTATGGTCCCAGCTACTCAAGTGGCTGAGGTGGAAGGATAACTTGAGCACACAAGGTGGAGGATGCAGTGAGCCATGAGTGCACTACTGCTCTCTGGCCTGGGAGACAGAGTGGGACCACATCTCAACAAACAAAAAACAAAATAAAACAAAACTGTGTCTTTTCTTTACAACCTATCATTTAAACAAAATGACTAAATAGGCAAAAAAAAAGCAGGGATTGTAACATCAAAATAGTGGAAATCAAGGCAGCAAGTAATAGGAAAAGAGAGTTGATGTTTACTGATAAAACGTAAAATGCACAATGAATACATGGGTCATAAATAATTATGTAAAAAATAAATATACCAAGTATAGATTTTAAAAAATATGTGAGATTGACAGAAATATATTGGTTTTGGAGAATTTTCAAAAGTTGATCATGAATAAACATAAGGTAAACTTAGTTAAATTCACCAAAGCAGAAAATTCAGAAGGTAGATTTCTGCAACAAAGAAATATCACTGCAAAATTTTAACAACTTTAAAACATCAAATTCAAATCAATTGAAAATTTCAAAGCAAAAAAAAGTTACTAAATAATTCTACTGTCAAAGAGGAAGTCAAAAGTATAATTGTTGAATATTAAAAATCACAATAAATCTACAAATTATAAAAACTCATGAGATACAGTTAAAGCTGTAGTCAGACTCAAATTCAAAGTTTCACATGCTTTCTTTTTTTTTTTGGTTTGGTGCAGAGTATATTTTTTGTTGTTGTTGTTGTTTTTTGTTTTTTTTGACTTGTTTACTTTATTATTATTATACTTTAAGTTTTAGGGTACATGTGCACAATGTGCAGGATAGTTACATATGTATACATGTGCCATGCTGGTGTGCTGCACCCATTAACTCGTCATTTAGCATTAGGTATATCTCCTAAA
This sequence comes from Homo sapiens, assembly GCF_000001405.40. NCBI lineage: Eukaryota > Metazoa > Chordata > Mammalia > Primates > Hominidae > Homo > Homo sapiens. The sequence continues at coordinate 37,303,415 of NC_000015.10, forward strand.
GCTATCCCTCCCCAATACCCCCACCCCACAACAGTCCCCAGAGTGTGATGTTCCCCTTCCTGTGTCCATGTGTTCTCATTGTTCAATTCCCACCTATGAGTGAGAATATGGGTGTTTAGATTTTGTTCTTGCGATAGTTTACTGAGAATGATGATTTCCAATTTCATTCATGTCCCTGCAAAGGACATGAACTCATCATTTTTTATGGCTGCATAGTATTCCATGGTGTATATGTGCCACATTTTCTTAATCCAGTCCATCATTGTTGGACATTTGGGTTGGTTCCAAGTCTTTGCTATTGTGAATAGTGCCACAATAAACATACGTGTGCATGTGTCTTTATAGCAGCATGATTTATAGTCCTTTGGGTATATACCCAGTAATGGGATGGCTGGCTCAAATGGTATTTCTAGTTCTAGATCCCTGAGGAATCGCCACACTGACTTCCACAATGGTTGAACTAGTTTACAGTCCCACCAACAGTGTAAAAGTGTTCCTATTTCTCCACATCCTCTCCAGCACCTGTTGTTTCCTGACTTTTTAATGATTGCCATTCTAACTGGTGTCAGATGGTATCTCATTGTGGTTTTGATTTGCATTTCTCTGATAGCCAGTGATGGTGAGCATTTTTTCATGTGTTTTTTGGCTGCATAAATGTCTTCTTTTGAGAAGTGTCTGTTCATGTCCTTCGCCCACTTTTTGATGGGGCTGTTTTTTTCTTGTAAATTTGTTTGAGTTCATTGTAGATTCTGGATATTAGCCCTTTGTCAGATGAGTAGGTTGCAAAAATTTTCTCCCATTTTGTAGGTTGCCTGTTCACTCTGATGGTAGTTTCTTTTGCTGTGCAGAAGCTCTTTAGTTTAATTAGATCCCATTTGTCAATTTTGGGTTTTGTTGCCATTGCTTTTGGCATTTTAGACATGAAGTCCTTGCCCATGCCTATGTCCTGAATGGTAATGCCTAGGTTTTCTTCTAGGGTTTTTATGGTTTTAGGTCTAACATTTAAGTCTTTAATCCATCTTGAATTGATTTTTGTATAAGGTGTAAGGAAGGGATCCAGTTTCAGCTTTCTACATATGGCTAGCCAGTTTTCCCAGCACCATTTATTAAATAGGGAATCCTTTCCCCATTGCTTGTTTTTCTCAGGTTTGTCAAAAATCAGATAGTTGTAGATATGCGGCATTATTTCTGAGGGCTCTGTTCTGTTCCATTGATCTATATCTCTGTTTTGGTACCAGTACCATGCTGTTTTGGTTACTGTAGCCTTGTAATATAGTTTGAAGTCAGGTAGCATGATGCCTCCAGCTTTGTTCTTTTGCCTTAGGATTGACTTGGTGATGCGGGCTCTTTTTTGGTTCCATATGAAGCTTAAAGTAGTTTTTCCAATTCTGTGAAGAAAGTCATTGGTAGCTTGATGGGGATGGCATTGAATCTATAAATTACCTTGGGCAGCGTGGCCATTTTCATGATATTGATTCTTCCTACCCATGAGCATGGAATGTTCTTCCATTTGTTTGTATCCTGTTTTATTTCATTGAGCAGTGGTTTGTAGTTCTCCTTGAAGAAGTCCTTCACATCCCTTGTAAGTTGGATTCCTAGGTATTTTATTCTGTTTGAAGCAATTGTGAATGGGAGTTCACTCATGATTTGGCTCTCTGTTTGTCTGTTATTGGTGTATAAGAATGCTTGTGATTTTTGTACATTGATTTTGTATCCTGAGACTTTGCTGAAGTTGCCTATCAGCTTAAGGAGATTTTGGGCTGAGACAATGAGGTTTTCTAGATATACAATCATGTCATCTGCAAACAGGGACAATTTGACTTCCTCTTTTCCTAATTGAATATCCTTTATTTCCTTCTCCTGCTTAATTGCCCTGGCCAGAACTTCCAACACTATGTTGAATAGTAGTGGTGAGAGAGGGCATCCCTGTCTTGTGCCAGTTTTCAAAGGGAATGCTTCCAGTTTTTGCCCATTCAGTATGATATTGGCTGTGGGTTTGTCATAGATAGCTCTTATTATTTTGAGATACGTCCCATCAATACCTAATTTATTGAGAGTTTTTAGCATGAAGCATTGTTGAAATTTGTCAAAGGCCTTTTCTGCATCTATTGAGATAATCATGTGGTTTTTGTCTGTGGTTCTGTTTATATGCTGGATTACATTTATTGATTTGCATATATTGAACCAGACTTGCATCCCAGGGATGAAGCCCACTTGATCATGGTGGATAAGCTTTTTGATGTGCTGCTGGATTTGGTTTGCCAGTATTTTATTGAGGATTTTTGCATCCATGTTCATTAAGTATATTGGTCTAAAATTCTCTTTTTTTGTTGTGTCTCTGCCTGGCTTTGGTATCAGGATGATGCTGGCCTCATAAAATGAGTTAGGGAGGATTCCCTCTTTTTCTATTGATTGGAATAGTTTCAGAAGGAATGGTACCAGTTCCTCCTTGTACCTCTGGTAGAATTCGGCTGTGAATCCATCTGGTCCTGGACTCTTTTTGGTTGGTAAGCTATTGATTATTGCCACAATTTCAGAGCCTATTATTGGTCTATTCAGAGATTCAACTTCTTCCTGCTTTAGTCTTGGGAGGGTGTATGTGTCGAGGAATTTATCCATTTCTTCTAGATTTTCTAGTTTATTTGCATAGAGGTGTTCGTAGTATTCTCTAATGGTAGTTTGTATTTCTGTGGGATTGGTGGTGATATCCCCTTTATCATTTTTTATTGCATCTATTTGATTCTTCTCTCCTTTCTTCTTTATTAGTCTTGCTAGCGGTCTATCAATTTTGTTGATCCTTTCAAAAAACCAGCTCCTGGATTCATTAATTTTTTGAAGGGTTTTTTGTGTCTCTATTTCCTTCAGTTCTGCTCTGATTTTAGTTATTTCTTGCCTTCTGCTAGCTTTTGAATGTGTTTGCTCTTGCTTTTCTAGTTCTTCTAATTGTGATGTTAGGGTGTCAATTTTGGATCTTTCCTGCTTTCTGTTGTGGGCATTCAGTTTTATAAATTTCCCTCTACACACTGCTTTGAATGTGTCCCAGAGATTCTGGTATGTTGTGTCTTTGTTCTCGTTGGTTTCAAGGAGCATCTTTATTTCTGCCTTCATTTCATTATGTACACAGTAGTCATTCAGGAGCAGGTTGTTCAGTTTCCATGTAGTTGAGTGGTTTTGAGTGAGTTTCTTAATGCTGAGTTCTAGTTTGATTGCACTGTGGTCTGAGAGACAGTTTGTTATAATTTCTGATCTTTTACATTTGCTGAGGAGAGCTTTACTTCCAAGTATGTGGTCAATTTTGGAATAGGTGTGGTGTGGTGCTGAAAAAAATGTATATTCTGTTGATTTGGGGTGGAGAGTTCTGTAGATGTCTATTAGGTCCACTTGGTGCAGAGCTGAGTTCAATTCCTGGGTATCCTTCTTAATTTTCTGTCTCATTGATCTGTCTAATGTTGACAGTGGGGTGTTAAAATCTCCCATTATTATTATGTGGGAGTCTAAGTCTCTTTGTAGGTCACTGAGGACTTGCTCTATGAATCTGGGTGCTCCTGTATTGGGTGCATATATATTTAGGATAGTTAGCTCTTCTTGTTGAATTGATCCCTTTACCATTATGTAATGGCCTTCTTTGTCTCTTTTGATCTTTGTTGGTTTAAAGTCTGTTTTATCAGAGACTAGGATTGCAACCCCTGCCTTTTTTTGTTTTCCATTTGCTTGGGAGATCTTCCTCCATCCTTTTATTTTGAGCCTATGTGTGTCTCTGCCCATGAGATGGGATTCCTGAATACAGCACACTGATGGGTCTTGACTCTTTATCCAATTTGCCAGTCTGTGTCTTTTAATTGGAGCATTTAGTCCATTTCCATTTAAAGTTAATATTGTTATGTGTGAATTTGATCCTGTCATGATGATGTTAGCTGGTTATTTTGCTCGTTAGTTGATGCAGTTTCTTCTTAGCCTTGATCGTCTTTACAATTTGGCATGATTTTGCAGTGGCTGGTACCAGTTGTTCCTTTCCATGTTTAGTGCTTCCTTCAGGAGCTCTTTTAGGGCAGGCCTGGTGGTGACAAAATCTCTCAGCATTTGCTTGTCTGTAAAGTATTTTATTTCTCCTTCATTTATGAAGCTTAGTTTGGCTGGATATGAAATTCTGGGTTGAAAATTCTTTTCTTTAAGAATGTTGAATATTGGCCCCCACTCTCTTCTGGCTTGTAGAGTTTGTCCTGAGAGATCTGCTGTTAGTCTGTTGGGCTTCCCTTTATGGGTAACCCGACCTTTCTCTCTGGCTGCCCTTAACATTTTTTCCTTCATTTCAACTTTGGTGAATCTGACAATTATGTGTCTTGGAGTTGCTCTTCTCGAGCAGTATCTTCGTGGAGTTCTCTGTATTTCCTGAATCTGAATGTTGGCCTGCCTTGCTAGATTGGGGAAGTTCTCCTGGATAATATCCTACAGAGTGTTTTCCAACTTGGTTCCATTTTCCCCGTCACTTTCAGGTACACCAATCAGACATACATTTCGTCTTTTCACATAGTCCCATATTTCTTGGAGGTTTTTTTCGTTACTTTTTATTCTTTTTTCTCTAAACTTCCCTTCTCGCTTCATTTCATTCATTTCATCTTCCATCACTGATGCCTGTTCTTCCAGTTGATCACATCAGCTCCTGAGGCTTCTGCATTCTTCATGTAGTTCTCGAGCCTTGGCTTTCAGCTCCATCAGCTCCTTTAAGCAATTCTCTGTATTGGTTATTCTAGTTATACATTTGTCTAAATTTTTTTCAAAGTTTTCAACTTCTTTGCCTTTGGTTTGAATTTCCTCCTGTAGCTCAGAGTAGTTTGATCGTCTGAAGCCTTCTTCTCCCAACTTGTCAAAGTCATTCTCCATCCAGCTTTGTTCCGTTGCTGGTGAGGAGCTGTGTTCCTTTGGAGGAGGAGAGGCACTCTGCTTTTTAGAGTTTCCGGCTTTTCTGCTCTGTTTTTTCCCCATCTTTGTGGTTCTGTCTACTTTTGGTCTTTGATGATGGTGATGTACAGATGGGTTTTTGGTGTGGATGTCCTTTCTGTTTGTTAGTTTTCCTTCTAACAGACAGGACCCTCAGCTGCAGGTCTGTTGGAGTTTGCTAGAGATCCACTCCAGACCCTGTTTGCCTGGGTATCAGCAGTGGTGTCTGCAGAACCACGGATTTTTGTGATCCGTGAATGCTGCTGTCTGATCGTTCCTCTGGAAGTTTGTCTCAGAGGAGTACCCGGCCGTGTGAGGTGTCAGTCTGCCCCTACTGGGGGGTGCCTCCCAGTTAGGCTGCTCGGGGATCAGGGGTCAGGGACCCACTTGAGGAGGCAGTCTGCCCGTTCTGAGATCTCCAGCTGCGTGCTGGGAGAACCACTGCTCTCCTCAAAGCTGTCAGACAGAGACATTTGAGTCTGCAGAGGTTACTGCTGTCTTTTTGGTTGTCTGTGCCCTGCCCCCAGAGATGGAGCCTACAGAGGCAGGCAGGCCTCCTTGAGCTGTGGTGGGCTCCACCCAGTTCGAGCTTCCTGGCTGCTTTGTTTACCTAAGCAAGCCTGGGCAATGGCGGGCGCCCCTCCCCCAGCCTCGCTGCCACCTTGCAGTTCGATCTCAGACTGCTGTGTTAGCAAAGAACAAGGCTCCGTGGGCGTAGGATCCTCTGAACCAGGCATGGGATATAATCTCCTTGTGTGCCGTTTGCTAACACCATTGGAAAAGCACAGTATTAGGGTGGGAGTGACCTGATTTTCCAGGTGCCATCTGTCACCCCTTTCTTTGACTAGGAAAGGGAATTCCCTGAGCCCTTGTGCTTCCCGGGTGAGGCGATGCCTTGCCCTGCTTCGGCTCTTGCAGTGCACTGCACCCACTGTCCTGCACACACTTTCTGACACTCCCCAGTGAGATGAACCCAGTACCTCAGTTGGAAATGCAGAAATCACCCATCTTCTGTGTCGCTCACACTGGGAGCTGTAGACTGGAGCTGTTCCTGTTTGGCCATCTTGGCTCCACGCCCCCTCCCCTCTGGCCCCCGATACCATCTTAACAGCAGTCAAAATGGCTATTTTTAAAAAGTCTGTTTGGAAGGCCAAGGCAGGAGGATAGATTAAGGTCAGGAATTTAAGATCAGCCTGGGCAAAATCGCAAGATCTGTCACAACAAAAATTAAAAACTAGCCTGGGATGGTGGCACATGCCTGTAGTCCCAGCTATTTGGGAGGATGAGGTGAGAAGTTTGCTTGAGTCCAGGAGTTGGAGGCTGCAGTGAGCTATGATCATTCCCCTACACTCAAGCCTGGGTGATAGAGTGAGACTCTATCTCAAAATTATATACATATGATAAAATTATATCATTAAAAATAAATAAATAAAAAGCCTAAAAACAACATATGTTGGTGAGGGTGTGGAGAAAAGTAAACTCATACACTATTGGTGGGAATGTCAATCAGTCAAGCTCTATGGAAAAAATGCTGAAATTTCTCCAGTAACTAAAAGCAGAACTACCATTCGATCCAGCAACCCCCCTAATAGGTATACATGCAAACAGAAAGCAAGCATTGTATCAAAAAGATACCAACACTCATATGTTTATCACAGCACTATTCACAATGGCAAAGATATGGAATCAACCTAAGTGTCCATAACTGAGGGCTGGATAAAGAAAATATGGTGTATATATACCATTCAATACCAATCAGTCATAGAAAAGGATAAAATCATGTCTTTTGCAGCAATGTGGATAGAACTGGAGGCCATTTTCCTAAGTGAAATAACAGAAAGTCAAATACTGCATGTTCTCACTTGTTAGTGGGAGCTAAACAATGGGCACACATGGACACACAGAATGGTATAATAGACATTGGAGACTACAAAAGGTAGGAGGATAGGAGGGGGGTGAGAGTTGAAAAATTACCTATTGGGTGCAGTGTTCACCATTTGGGTGATGGGAACACTTAAAGCCCAGACGTCACCACTATGCAATACATGCATGTAAGAAACCTGCACGTGCACCCCTCAAATATATATAAATTTTTAAAATGTATGTATCTATATATGTACATAATATATGTATATATATATATAAAATATATGTGTATATATATATATTCAAAGTTGGATAGTTTGGTACTATTGTGAATAAGATTTTTTCCATGTATGTGTGTGTATATATATGTGTGTGTATATATATGTGTGTGTGTGTGTATATATATATATATACACGCACATATATATACATGGAAAAAATCTCATTCACAATAGTACCAAAATATCCAACTTTGAATAAAGTTAATAAGTATTAATAAATAATAAATATTCAGGAACTTTATGCATAAAATGTTACAATTTCACTAAGGAACATAAAAAATGAATAAATGCACAGTGAGATTAAAAATTTTATAGATTTCAATTTTTCCCTAATTAATATATATATTTAATGCTCCTCCAATCAATATCACATTGGAATTAACTTTCAAAGTTGGCAAAGAGTTTTAAATTGGATTTGGAAAAATAACTATTAAAAATTTCAAAAAACAAAAAAGTGAATTTCAGCTGACAAAGAGTTCGGAAGTCAAAACTTCCATACTTACAACAAGAAAATTCTGAACAAATTGAAATTCAATGATGTTTCTTGGAACCATAAAAGATCTGAGGCCATATCATAGGGCAATCCTCCACTGTGAAATCTAGGAAGACAGGTGCATCCAGAGGGATATTAACAACTAAGATTTGCTTACTGGCAGGAGCAGCCACTGGAGCCATAAGCTGGTAGAAACAGTTAAATGCTAATTTTACTTATTGCTGGAGGCTGAGGGTGGACTCATGTGAGAACAGGAAACTCCTGGGGGCTGTAATCTTCAGACAATACCAAACTTTCATATACTTTCCCCTCCTCCAAGATCCCCACCAGGTTCCAATGTTGAGGATCTGAGAAAGATCTACTCCTGGTTCTGGTAGGGGAAGGAAAGAGTAGCCATTATGAAACATACCCAGAGTCTTCTGTATAGGAAATGTGTACTCTTTAGGGAAAGGATTTTGCCTGAGCTGAATTCTGAAAACATCACAGTTAGAAAGGACTTCCTCTTCATTCTATTTGCCCCCAGTTTTCTGGTGTCACTTAATGGGAGTAGACACAGTCAGCAGAGAACAGGGCTCCAAGAAAATCACTTAGAGGTTGGATCTGGGGCAGGAAAAAAAATTACAGGGCAGTGGGAAAATTAATACCACTGGAGGGAGGACAGAAATACTTGTGAAGATACAGCCCTAAGACACAGAACTATGAAAAGACTGATGCTTAACTGTTAGATTATAGAAAGCTCTCCCCCCACAATACCTTGCCACCACATCAATAGGGTTCTAGTGTAATAATTACAGCTGAAACAGCTACATGACACATACTCTTTCTGAGAAGAAGTACTCAAAGAAGTCCCAACTTAAGGGGAGAAACAAGCAAGGAAATGATAATTTGAAGACTCTAGTACCTAAACATTAAATACAACCTAATTCCTAGATAGATTAACATTCATTCTCATACTAAAGGTCTATTTTCTTCAGTTTTTATTACCTGATAGAACATGTTCTGCTTTCAACAAGAAAATTACAAGCATGCTAAAGGCAAGAAAAAACAGTTTGAAGAGACAAAGCAGCAATCAGAACTAGACTCAGAAATAAAAAAACTGTTGAAATTATCAGGCAGGAAATTTAAAATAACTATGTTTAATAAGTTGAAGTTTCTAAAGGAAAAAATAGAAAACATGAAGGAACAGATGCATAATGTAAGCAGAGAGGTAAAAATTCTAAGAAAGAATAAAAGAAAATGTTATAAATAAAAAGCACAGTAACAGAAATGAAGGAAGGCTTTGATGGACTCATCAGTAGTGTCAATATGGCAAAGGAAAGCACCAGTGAACTTGAAGATAGGTCAATAGAAACTTTCTCAACTGAAAAGCAAAGAGAAAAAAGATTGGGAAAAACAAAACAAATCATCCAAGAACTGTGGCACAAAATCAAGAGGTATAACATAAATGTAACTGAATTAGCAGAAGATAAACAATAGAATGAAGCAGTGTAAATATTTGAAATCAAAATAGCCCCAAACTTTCCAAATTTAATGACAGACAGTAAATCACATATCCCCAAACCTCAAAGAATCGCAAGTAGAATAAAACAATAACAACAACATACACTTAGACATATTATTATTATTATTATTATTATTATATTATTATACTTTAAGTTTTAGGGTACATGTGCACAATGTGCAGGTTAGTTACATATGTATACATGTGCCATGTTGGTGTGCTGCACCCAGTAACTCATCGTTTAACATTACGTATATCTCCTAATGCTATCCCTCCCCCCTCCCCCTACCCCACAACAGGCCATGGTGTGTGATGTTCCCCTTCCTGTGTCCATGTGTTCTCATTGTTCAATTCCCACTTATGAGTGAGAACATGCAGTGTTTGGTTTTTTGTCCTTGCAATAGTTTGCTGAGAATGATGGTTTCCAGCTTCATCCATGTCCCTACAAAGGACGTGAACTCATCATTTTTTATGGCTGCATAGTATTCCATGGTGTATATGTGCCACATTTTCTTAATCCAGTCTATCACTGTTGGACATTTGGCTTGGTTCCAAGTCTTTGCTACTGTGAATAGTGCCGCAATAAACATACATGTGCATGTGTCTTTATAGCAGCATGATTTATAATCCTTTGGGTATATACCCAGTAATGGGATGGCTGGCTCAAATGGTATTTCTAGTTCTAGATCCCTGAGGAATCGCCACACTGACTTCCACCATGGTTGAACCAGTTTACAGTCCCATCAACAGTGTAAAAGTATTCCTATTTCTCCACATCCTCTCCAGCACCTGTTGTTTCCTGATTTTTTAATGATTGCCATTCTAACTGGTGTGAGATGGTATCTCATTGTGGCTTTGATTTGCATTTCTCTGATGACCAGTGATGATGAGCATTTTTTCATGTGTCTGTTGGCTGCATAAATGTCTTCTTTTGAGAAGTGTCTGTTCATATCCTTCACCCACTTTTTGATGGGGTTGTTTGTTTTTTTCTTGTAAATTTGTTTGAGTTCATTGTAGATTCTGGATATTAGCCCTTTGTCAGATGAGTAGATTGCAAAAATTTTCTCCCATTCTGTAGGTTGCCTGTTCACTCTGATGGTAGTTTCTTTTGCTGTTCAGAAGCTCTTTAGTTTAATTAGATCCCATATGTCAATTTTGGCTTTTGTTGCCATTGCTTTTGGTGTTTTAGACATGAAGTCCTTGCCCATGCCTATATCCTGAATGGTATTGCCTAGGTTTTCTTCTAGGGTTTTTATGGTTTTAGGTCTAACATTTAAGCCTTTAATCCATCTTGAATTAATTTTTGTATAAGGTGTAAGGAAGGGATCCAGTTTCAGCTTTCTACATATGGCTAGCCAGTTTTCCCAGCACCATTTATTAAATAGGGAATCGTTTCCCTATTTCTTGTTTTTGTCAGGTTTGTCAAAGATCAGTTGGTTGTAGATGTGTGGTATTATTTCTGAGGGCTCTGTTCTGTCCCATTGGTCTATATCTCTGTTTTGGTACCAGTACCATGCTGTTTTGGTTACTGTAGCCTTGTAGTATACTTTGAAGCCAGGTAGCATGATGCCTCCAGCTTTGTTCTTTTGGCTTAGGATTGACTTCATGATGCACACTCTTTTTTGGTTCCATATGAAGCTTAAAGTAGTTTTTTCCAATTCTGTGAAGAAAGTCATTGGTAGCTTGATGGGGATGGCATTGAATCTATAAATTACCTTGGGCAGTATGGCCATTTCACAATATTGATTCTTCCTACCCATGAGCATAGAATGTACTTCCATTTGTTGGTATCTTCTTTGATTTCATTGAGCAGTTGTTTGTAGTTCTCCTTGAAGAGGTCCTTCACGTCCCTTGTAAGTTGGATTCCTAGGTATTTTATTCTCTTTGAAGCAATTGTGAATGGGAGTTCACTCATGATTTGGCTGTTTGTCTCTTAGTGGTGTATAAGAATGCTTGTGATTTTTGCACATTGATGTTGTATCCTGAGACTTTGCTGAAGTTGCCTATCAGCTTAAGGAGATTTTGGGCTGAGACAATGAGGTTTTCTAGATATACAATCATGTCATCTGCAAACAGGGACAATTTGACTTCCTCTTTTCCTAATTGAATACCCTTTATTTCCTTCTCCTGCCTGATTGCCCTGGCCAGAACTTCCAACACTATGTTGAATAGGAGTGGTGATAGAGGGCATCCCTGTCTTATGTCAGTTAAGGGAATGCTTCCAGTTTTTGCCCATTCAGTATGATATTGGCTGTGGGTTTGTCATAGATAGCTCTTATTATTTTGAGATACGTCCCATCAATACCTAATTTATTAAGAGTTTTTAGCATGAAGGGCTGTTGAATTTTGTCAAAGTCCTTTTGTGCATCTATTGAGATAATCATGTGGTTTTTATCATTGGTTCTATTTATATGCTGGATTACATTTATTGATTTGCATATGTTGAACCAGCCTTGCATCCCAGGGATGAAGCCCACTTGATCATGGTGGATAAGCTTTTTGATGTGCTGCTGGATTCAGTTTGCCAGTATTTTATTGAGGATTTTTGCATCAATGTTCATCAGGGATATTGGTCTAAAATTCTCTTTTTTTGTTTTGTCTCTGCCAGGCTTTGGTATCGGGATGATGCTGGCCTCATAAAATGAGTTAGGGAGGATTCCCTCTTTTTCTATTGATTGGAATAGTTTCAGAAGGAATGGTACCAGCTCCTCCTTGTACCTCTGGTAGAATTCGACTGTGAATCCATCTGGTCCTGGACTTTTTTTGGTTGGTAAGCTATGAATTATTGCCTCAATTTCAGAGCCTGTTATTAGTCTATTCAGAGATTCAACTTCTTCCTGGTTTAGTCTCTGAAATTTACGGAAAACTAAAAACAAAGAAAAAAATATTGAAAGGAGCCAGAGTAAAACAGAACCCCTTCCCTACAGAGGAACAAAGATAAGAATTACAGCAAACTTCTCATTAGAAACCATGAAAACAAGACAAGTGTGAAATATTTGAAGTGTTAAAAATTATCCATAAATCTTTAATACCATATCCAGCAAATCCTGTAAGGTGAGGAAGAAATAGATTTTCTTAGACAAACAAAAACTGAGGGAATTCACTGTTAGCAGACCTTCTCTATGAGAAATATTAAAGAAAGTTTCAAGACAAAAGAAAAATAATACAGACCAGAAACTTGGACCTACATAAGAAAAGAAGACAGAGAGAGGAAAAATAAAATATTTCATTTTTCTAATTCTGAATTGTCCTGAAAGATAATTCTTTGTTTAAAGTAATAATAGTAACAATGTATTGAGTGATTATAGCATGTGGATAAATGAAATAGATAACAGGAGGTAGGAATTGGAGATACTCTGTAATAGGGTATATGTAAGACACATGAAGCAATGTAGTATATACAAAGTACTAAAATTAGTTCATATTGCATATTATAAACTCTAGAACAACTACTATTTTTTAAAAATATATTTGAGGCTGGGTACTGTGGCTAAAGCCTGTAATCCTAGCACTTTGGGAGGCCGAGGCAGGCAGATCACAAGGTCAGGAGATCGAGACCATCCCAGCTAACATGGTGAAACCCCATCTCTACTAAAAATACAAAAAATTAGCCGGGCATGGTGGTGGGCGCCTGTAGTCCCAGCTACTCGGGAGGCTGAGGCAGGAGATTTGTGTGAACCCAGGAGGCAGAGCTTGCAGAGAGCCGAGATGGCGCCACTGCACTCCAGCCTGGGTGACAGAGTGAGGCTCCTTCTCAAAAAAAAAAAATATATATATATATATATATATTTGATACACTAAGTGAGGAGGTAAAATAGCATCATGTAAAATGTTCAATAACACCAGCAAAGGCAGAAAAATGAGGAGAAAATAAATGTAATGAATAGAAAACAGTCACAAACATGGTAGATAATAATCTAACTGGATCAATAATCACTTTAAATGTGAATAGTTTAAATATGTTAATTAAGTGACAGATTTTTAGAGTGGATAAAAAATCCCCAATTATATGTTATGTATCTATTAAAATCCATTTTAAGTATAAAGAATTAGAGAATTTAAAAGTGGGGGAAGTATGTAATAATACAAGTGTCAATTCTTTATAGACACTTTTATTGAAGACATAACAATCCTAAACATCTATGCACCTAACAAGAAAGCATCAAAATATATGAGGCAAAAACTGATCAAACTATAAGTAACTCACTGCTATAAAGACTTCAGCACTTCTCTGTTAATAATTGATAGATCAAGCCATCAGAAAATCAGTAAAGGTATACATGATTTAACATCACTCTCAAGTGACTTGATCTAATTGACTTTTATAGAATACTCTTGCCAACAACTCCATTCTTCTGTAGCTCGTATGGAACATTCATAAAAATATACCATACTCTGGGTCAAAAAATATACTATAACAAACTTAAAAGAGTGGAAACCAAAGTATGTTTTCAAATAGCAATGGAATCAATTAGAAATTAATTACAGAAAGACAACAGGAAAGTCTCCAAATACCTAAAAATTGAGCAACACATTTTAAAATAATCTCTGAGTCAAAAAAAAAAAAAAAAACTTCAAGAGAGATAGGCTGGCAAGATGGCCAAATAGGAACAGCTCCAGTCTGCAGCTCCCAGCGAGATCGATGCAGAATGTGGGTGATTTCTGCATTTCCAACTGAGGTGTCCGGTTCATCTTACTGGGACTGATTGGACAGTGGGTGCAGCCCAGGAAGGGTGAACTGAAGCAGGGTGGGGTGTTGCCTCACTCAGGAAGTACAAAGAGTCGGGAAATCTCCTGCCATAGCCAAAGGAAGCCGTGAGGGTCTGTGTACGGTGCACTCTGGTCCAGATACTGTGCTTCCCCTATGGTCTTCACAACCTGCAGACCAGGAGATTCCCTCTGGTGCCTATGTCACCAGGGCCCTGGTTTCAAGCATAAAACTGGGCGGCCATTTGGGCAGACACTGAGCTAGCTGTAGGAGTTTTTGTTTCTCATACCTCAGTGGCACCTGGAATGCCAGCGAGACAGAACCATTCACTCCCCTGGAAAGGAGGCTGAAGCAAGGGAGCCAAGTGGTGTGGCTCAGTGGGTCCCACCCCCACGGAGCCCAGCAAACTAAAATCCCCTGGCTTGAAATCCTTGCTGCCAGCACAGCAGTCTGAGGTCCACCTGGGAAGCTTGAGCTTGGTGGGGAGAGGGGCGTCCACCATTGCTGAGGCTTGAGCAGCGGATCTCCCAGCACAGTATTCAAGCTCTGATAAGGGTCACACTGCTTCCTCAAGTGGGTCCCTGACCCCCGTGTCTCCTGACTCAGAGACATCTCCCAGTAGGGGATGACAGACACCTCATACAGGAGAGCTCTGGCTGGCATCTGGTGGGTGGGGGGGGGCCCCTCTGGGATGAAGCTTCCAGAGGAAGGAACAGGCAGAAATCTTTGCTGTTCTGCAGCCTCTGCTGGTGATACCCAGGCAAACAGGGTCTGGAGTGGACCTCCAGCAAACTTCAGCAGACCTGCAGCAGAGGGGCCTGACTGTTAGAAGGAAAACTAACAAACAGAAAGCAATAGTATCAACATCAACAAAAAGGACGTCCACTCAGAGACCCCATCAAAGACTAAATGTAGATAAATCCACAAAGATGGGGAGAAAGCAGTGCAAAAAGGCTGAAAATTCCAAAAAGCAGAATGTCTCTTCTCCTCCAAAGGATCACAACTCCTCACCAGCAAGGGAACAAAACTAGACAAAGAACGATTTGACAAATTGACAGAAGTAGGCTTCAAAAGGTGGGTAATAACAAACTCCACTGAGCTAAAGGAGCATATTTTAACCCAATGCAAGGAAGTTAAGAACCTTGAAAAAAAGGTTAGACAAATTGCTAACTAGAATAAGCAGTTTAGAGAAAAACATAAATGACCTGATGGAGCTGAAAAACACAGCACGAGATCTTTGTGAAGCATGCACAAGTATCAATAGCCAAATTGATCAAGCAGAAGAAAGGATATCAGAGATTGAAGGTCAACTTAATGAAATAAAGAAAGAAGACAAACTAAGAGAAAAAAGAATAAAAAGTAATGACAAAGCCTCCAAGAAATATGGGACTATGTGAAAAGACCAAATCTACATTTGATTGGTGTACCTGAGAGTGATGGGGAGAATGGAACTAAGTTGGAAAACATTCTTCAGGATATTATCCAGGAGAACTTCCCCAATCTAGCAAGGTAGGCCAACATTCAAATTCATGAAATGCAGAGAACACCACAAAGATACTCCTTGAGAAAAGCAACCCCAAGACACATAATCGTCAGATTCACCAAGGTTGAAATGAAGGAAAAAATATTAAGGGCACCCAGAGAGAAAGGTCGGGTTACCAACAAAGGGAATCCCAACAGACTAACAGTGAATCTCTCTGCAGAAACCCTACAAGCCAGAAGACAGTGGGGGACAATATTCAACATTCTTAAAGAAGAGAATTTTCAACCCAGAATCTCATATCCAGCCAAACTAAGCTTCATAAGTGAAGGAGAAATAAAATCCTTTACAGACAAACAAATGCTGAGAGATTTTGTCAACACCAGGCGTGCCTTAAAAAAAAAACAAACTCCTGAAGGAAGCACTAAACATGGAAAGAAAAAACCGGTACTAGCCACTGCAAAAGCATACCAAATTGTAAAGGCCATCAACACTATGAAGAAACTGCATCAACTAACGGGCAAAATAACCAGCTAGCATTGTATTCACAGGATCCCATTCACACTTAACAATATTAACCTTAAATGTAAATGGACTAAATGCCCCAATTAAAAGATACAGACTGGCAAATTGGATAAAGAGTCAAGACCCAATAGTTTGCTGTATTCAGGAGACTCATCTCAGATGCAAAGATGGAATAGGCTCAAAATAAAGGGATGGAGGAAGATTTACCAAGTAAATGGAAAGCAAAAAAAAAAAAAAAAAAAAGGCAGGGGTTGCAGTCCTAGGCTCTGATAAAACAGACTTTAAACCAACAAAGTTCAAAAAAGAAAAAGAAGGGCATTTCATAATGGTAAAGGGATCAATGCAACAGGAAGAGCTAACTATCCTAAATATATATGCACCCAATACAGGAGCACCCAGATTCATAAAACAAGTTCTTAGAGATCTACAAAGAGACTTAGACTCCCACACAATAATAGTGGGAGACTTTAACACCCCACTGTCAATATTAGACTGATCAACGAGACAGAAAATTAACAAGGATATCCAGGACTTGAACTCAGCTGTGGACCAAGCAGACCTAATAGACATCTACAGAACTCTCCACCCCAAATCAAGAGAATGTACATTCTTCTCAGCACCACATGACACTTATTCCAAATTGACCACATAATTGGAAGTAAAACACTCCTCAGCAAATGCAAACGAGCAGAAATAATAACAAACAGTCTCTCAGACCACAGCACAATCAAATTATAACTCAGGATTAAGGGGGATCACTTCCAAGATGGCGAAATAGGAACAGCTCCAATCTGCAGCTCCCAGTGAGATCGACGCAGAAGACAGGTGATCTCTGCATTTCCAACTAAGATACCTGGTTCATCTCATTGGGACTCGTTGGACAGAGGGTGCAGCCCATGGAGGGAGAGCTGAAGCAGGGCAGGGCGTTGCCTCACCCGGGAAGTGCAAGGGGTTGGGGGATTTCCCTTTCCTAGCCAAGGGAAGTGGTGACAGACTGTACCTGGACAAACGGTACACTCCTGACCAAATACTGCACTTTTCCCACAATCTTAGCAACTGGCAGACCAGGAAATACCCTCCTGTGCTTTGCTCGGTGGATCCCATGCCCACAGAGCCTTGCTCACTGCTAGTGCAGCAGTCTGAGGTCAATGTGCAACACGGCAGCTTGATGTGGGTAGGGGCATCTGCCATTGCTGAACCTTGAGTAGCTCACAGTGTAAAAAAAGCAGCTGGGAAGCATGGACTGAGTGGAGCCCACCACAGCTCAGCAATGCCTACTGCCTCCATAGATTCCACCTCTATGGGCAGGGCATAGCTGAACAAAAGGCAGCAGACACCTTCTGCAGACTTAAATGTCCCTGTCTGACAGCTCTGAAGACAGCAGTGGTTCTCTCAGCATGGCGTTCGAGCTCTGAGAATGGACAGACTGCCCCCTCAAGCAGGTCCCTGACCCCCATGTAGCCTGACTGGGAAACACCTCCCAGTAGGGGCTGACAGACACCTCAAACAGGCGGGTGCCCCTCTGCAATGAAGCTTCCAGAGGGAGGATCAGGCAGCAATATTTGCTGTTCTGCAGCCTCTGCTGGTGATACCCAGGCAAACAGGGTCTGGAGTAGACCTCCAGACAGACCTGTAGCTGAGGGGTCTGACTGTTAGAAGGAAAACTAACAGAAAGGAATAGCATCAACATCAATAAAAAAGGACATTCACACCAAAACCCCATTTGTACGTCACCAACATCAAAGACCAAAGGTAGATAAAACCACAAAGATGGGGAGAAACCAGAACAGAAAAGCTGAAAATTCCAAAAAACAAAGTGACTCTTCTCCTCCAAAGGACTGCGGCTCCTCGCCAGCAAGGGAACAAAACTGGATGGAGAATGAGTTTGACGAGTTGATAGAAGTAGGCTTCAGAAGGTCGGTCAAAACAAACTTCTCTGAGCTAAAGGATCATATTCTAACCCATCACAAGGAAGCTAAAAACTTAGAAAAAATGTTAGATGAATGGCTAACTAGAATAAACAGTGTAGAGAAGACCTTAAATGACCTGACAGAGCTGAAAACCATGGCACAAAAACTTTGTGACACAACCACAAGCTTCAACAGGCAATTCGATCAAGTGGAAGAAAGGATATTAGTGATTGAAGACCAAATTAATGAAATAAAGTGGGAAGACGAAGATTAGACAAAAAAGAGTGAAAAGAAACAAACAAAGCCTCCAAGAAATATGGGATTATGTGAAAAGACCAAATATACGTTTGATTGGTGTACCTGAGAGTGACGGGGAGAATGGAACCAAGTTGGAAAACACTCTTCAGGATATTATCCAGTAGAACTTCCCTAACCTAGCAAGGCAGGGCAACATTCAAATTCAGGCAATACAGAGAACACCACAAAGATACTCCTCAAGATGAGCAACCCCAAGACACATAATTATCAGATTCACAAAGGATGAAATGAAGGAAAAAATGTTAAGGGCAGCCAGAGAGAAAGGTCGGGTCACCCACAAAGGGAAGCCCAAAAAACTAACAGCAGATCTCTCTGTAGAAACCCTACAAGCCAGAAGACAGTGGAGGCCAATATTCAACATTCTTAAAGAAAAGAATTTTCAACCCAGAATTTCATATCCAGTCAAACTAAGCTTCATAAGTGAAGGAGAAATAAAATACTTTACAGACAAGCAAATGCTGAGAGATTTTGTCACCACCAGGCCTGCCTTACAAGAGCTCCTGAAGGAAGTACTAAACATGGAAAGGAACAACCGGTACCAGCCACTGCAAAAACATGCCAAATTGTAAAGACCATCGATGCTATGAAGAAGCTGCATCAATTAACAGGCAAAATAACCAGCTAACATCATAATGGCAGGATCAAATTCACACATAACAATATTAACCTGAAATGTAAATGGGCTAAATGCTCCAATTAAAAGACACAGACTGGCAAATTGGATAAAGAGTCAAGACCCATTGGTGTGCTGTAGTCAGGAGATGCATCTCACGTGCAAAGATGCATAGGCTCAAAATAAAGGGATGGAGGAAGATCTACCAAGCAAATTGAAAGCAAAAAAATGCAGGGGTTGCAATCCTAGTCTCTGATAAAACAGACTTTAAACCAACAATGAGCAAAAGAGACAAAGAAGGCCACTACATAATGGTAAAGGGATGAATTCACTAAGAAGAGCTAACTATCCTAAATATATATGCACCCAATACAGGAGCATCCAGATTCATAAAGCAAGTTCTCAGAGACCTACAAAGATACTTAGACTCCCACACAATAATAGTGGGAGACTTTAACACCCCACTGGCAATATTAGACAGATCAACGAGACAGAAAATTAAAAAGAATATCCGGGAATTGAACTCAGCTCTGCACCAAGTGGACCTAATAGACATCTACAGAACTCTCCACCCCAAATCAACAGAATATACATTCCTTTCAGCACCACATTGTACTTATTCTTAAATTAACCACATAAATGGTAGTAAAACACTCCTCAGCAAATGTAAAAGAATGGAAATCATAACAAACTGTCTCTCAGACCACAGTGCAATCAAATTAGAACTCAGGATTAAGAAACTCACTCAAAACCACACAACTACAAGGAAACTGAACAACCTGCTCCTGAATGACTACTGGGTAAATAATGAAATTAAGGCAGAAATAAAGATGTTTTTTGAAACCAATGAGAACAAAGACACAACATACTAGAATCTCTGGGACATATTTAAAGCAGTGTGTAGAGGGAAATTTATAGCACTAAATGCCCACAAGAGAAAGCAGGAAAGATATAAAACCGACACCCTAACATCATAATTAAAAGCACTAGAGAAGCAAGAGCAAACAAATTCAAAAGCTAGCAGAAGGCAAGATGTAACTAAAAGCAGAACTGAAGGAGATAGAGACACAAAAAAAACTTCAAAAAATCAATGAATCCGGGAGTTTGTTTTTTGAGAAGATCAACAAAATTGATAGATCGCTAGCAAGACTTGAAGAAAAGAGAGAAGAATCAAAGAGAGGCAATAAAAAATGATAAAGGGGATATCACCACCAATCCCACAGAAATACAAACTACCATCAGAGAATACTATAAACACTTCTATGCAGATAAACTAGAAAATCTCAAAGAAATGGCTAAATTCCTGGACACATATACCCTCCCAAGACTAAAGCAGGAAGAAGTTGAATCTCTGAATAGACCAATAACATGTTCTGAAATTGAGGCAATAATGGTCTACTAACCAAAAAATGTTCAGGACCAGACACATTCACAGCCGAATTCTACTAGAGGTACAAACAGGAGCTGGTACCATTTCTTCTGAAACGATTTCAATCAATAGAAAAAGAGGGAATCCTCCCTAACTCATTTTATGAGGGCAGCATCATCCTGATGCCGTAGCCTGGTAGAGACACAACACAAAAAGGAGAATTTTAGGCCAATATCCCTGATGAACATCGATGTGAAAATCCTCAATAAAATACTGGCAAAACAAATCCAGCAGCACATCAAATAACTTATCCACCACCATCAAGTTGGCTTCATCCCTGGGATGCAAACCTGGTTCAAAATATGCAAATTAATAAATGTAATTCATCACATGAACAGAACCAATGATAAAAACCATGATTATCTCAATAGATGCAGAAAAAGCCTTTGACAAAATTCAACAGCGCTTCATGCTCAAAACTCTTGATAAACTAGGTATTGATGGAATGTATCTCAATATAATGAGAGCTATTTACGACAAACCCACAGCCAATATCATACTGAACTGGCAAAAACTGGAAGCATTCCATTTGAAAACCGGCACAAGATAAGGATGCCCTCTCTCACCACTCCTATTCAACCTATTCAACATATTGTTGGAAGTTCTGGCTAGGGCAATCAGGCAAGAGAAAGAAATAAAGTGTATTCAATTAGGAAAATGGAAGTCAAATTGTCCCTGTTTGCAGATGACATGATTTTATATTTAGAAAACACCATTGTCTCAGCCCCAAATCTGTTTAAGCTGATAAGTGACTTCGGCAAAGTCACAGGATACAAAAGCAATATGCAAAAAAACACAAGCATTCCTATATACTAATAATAGACAAACAGAGAGTCAAATCATGAGTGAACTCCCATTCACAATTACTACAAAAAGAATAAAATACCTAGGAATCCAACTTACAAGGGATGTGAAGGACCTCTTCAAGGAGAACTAAAAACCACTGCTCAATGAAATAAAAGAGGACACCAACAAAGGGAAAAACATTCCATGCTCATGGGTAGGAAGAATCAATATCGTGAAAATGGCTATACTGCCCAAGGTAATTTATAGATTCAATGCTATCCCCCATCAAGCTACTACTGACTTTCTTCATAGAACTGGAAAAAAGTACTTTAAAATTCATATGGAACCAAAAAAGAGCCCACATAGCCAAGACAATCCTAAGCAAAAAGAACAATGCTGGAGGCATCAGGCTACCTGACTTCAAACTATACTACAAGTCTATAGTAACTTAAACAGCATGGTACTGGTACCAAAACAGATATATAGATCAATGGAACAGAACAGAGGCCTCAGAAATAACACCACACATGTATAACCATTTGATCTTTGACAAACCTGGCACAAACAAGCAATGGGGAAAGGACTCCCTATTTAATACATGGTGCTGGGAAAACTGGCTAGCCATATGTAGAAGGCTGAAACTGGATCCCTTCCTTACTCCATATATACAAAAATTAATTCAAGATGGATTAAAGACTTAAGTGTAAGACCTAAAACCATAAAAACCCTAGAAGAAAACTTAGGCAATACCATTCAGGTCATAGGCTTGGGCAAAGACTTCATGTCTAAAACATCAAAAGCAATGGCAACAAAAGCCAAAATTGACAAATGGGATCTAATTAAACTAAAGAGCTTCTGCACAGCAAAAGAAACTACCATCAGAGTGAACAGGCAACCTACAGAATGGGAGAAAATTTTTGCAATCTATCCGTCTGACAAAGGGCTAATATCCAGAATCTACAAAGAACTTGAACAAATTTACAAGAAAAAAATCCAAACAACCCCATGCAAAAGTGGGCGAAGGATATGAACAGACACTTCTCAAAAGAAGACATTTTTGTGGCCAAAAAACATATAAAAAAAAGTTCACCATCACTGGTCATTAGAGAAATGCAAATCAAAACCACAATGAGATAACATCCCACCCCAGTTAGAATGGTGTTCATTAAAAAGTCAGGAAGCCATAGATGCTGGTGAGGATGTGGAGAAATAGGAATGCTTTCACACTGTTGGTGGAACTGTAAATAAGTTCAACCATTGTGGAAGACAGTGTAGTGACTCCTCAAGGATCTAGAACTGGAAATACCATTTGACCCAGCAATCCCATTACTGGGTATATACCCAAAGGATTATAAATCATTCTACTATAAAGATAAATGCACACATATGTTTATTGTAGCAGTACTCACAATAGCAAAGACTTGGAACCAACCCAAATGGCCATCAATGATAGACTGGATAAAGAAAATGTGGCACATAGGGCTCGGCGCGGTGGCTCATGCCTGTAATGCCAACACTTTGGGAGGCTGAGGCGGGTGGATCACGAGGTCAGGAGATCAACACCATCCTGGCTAACACGGTGAAACCCCGTCTCTACCAAAAAAAATACAAAAAAAAATTAGCTGGGTGTGATGGCGGGCACCTGTAGTCCCAGTTACTCAGGAGGCTGAGGCAGGAGAATGGCGTGAAGCTGGGAGGCGGAGCTTGCAGTGAGCGGAGATCGCGCCACTGCACTCCAACCTGGGCGACAGAGCTAGACTCGGTCTCAAAAAAAAAAAAAAAAAGTCTCGAGAAATTAAAAATTATTTTGAATAAAACTATAATGAAAATACAACTTATCAAAATTTGTGGGATGAGCCAAAGTAGTGCTAAAAGAACATTTATAGCATTAAATGTATACATTAGAGAAGAAGGAAGATGTAAAATTAATAATCTAATCTTACATTTTAGGAAGTTTGTGAAAGATGAGCAATTTATTCCAAAAGCAAGTAGAAAAAAGAAAACTAGAGCGATAATTAGTGAAATTGAAAATAGGAAAAAATAGAGAAATCCACAAAATCATAAGCTGGTTTTTTAAAAAAGATCAATAAAATCAATGAACTTCTAGACAGGTTGGTAAAGGAAAAAAGAGACATATGAAGATTGACAAAAAGGCAAAGACAACCTCTCCTGCCATGCCTATTCAACTTGGTACTTAAAGTTCTAATGAGCATACTAAGATAGGAAAAAAAAAGTTATACAGATTGAAAAGTAAAAATAAGATTTTTATTCACATATAAGGCCATTGTTTATGTCGAAAACCACAAAAAATTTATAAAAAATTCCTGGAATTAGCAAGCAATACAGCAAGGTAGTAGGCTACAAAGTCAAATACAAGTCAATGGCCTTCCTTCATACTGACAATGATTAATGATACTTTGAAATTTAAAAAAACCTATTATTTACAACAGCACACAAAAAATAAAGCATTTAAGTATACAAATATAATAATATATGTATCGGATTTGTATGAAGATAGGTACAATACACTGATGAGAGAAATAAAATAAGATTGAAATAAATAGATATTATGAATTCATTCCATCTTAATTCATTAAAAAAATTTTTTTTATTATACTTTAAGTCCTGGGATACATTTTCAGAATGTGCAGGTTTGTTACATAGGTATACATGTGCCATGGTGGTTTGCTGCACCCATCAACCCGTCATCTACATTAGGTATTTTTCCTAATGCTATCCCTCCCCTAGTCCCCCAGCCCCTGACAGGCCCCGGGGTGTGATGTCATCCGAATTCATTTTGAGACTAGAAGATTATTATTAAAATGTCAATTCTTCCCAATTTGATCCATAGGTTCAACATGATCCCAAAAAAATCCTAGCTAGCTGTTTTGTAGATATCAACAAATTGATGCTCAAATGTATGTAGGAAGGCAAAGAGCCTGGCGTGGTCAACACAATAATAAAGAAAAACAAAGTTGGAGGACTCACACTACCCAAATTCAAGACTTTCTATAAATTTATAGTAATCAAGACAGCATAGTATTTGCCTAAGAATACACACACAGATCATCAATAGAATGGAACAGAAAGTATCGTAATAGATTCACATAAATATACTCAACTGATTTTTGACAAAGGTATAAAGGCAATTTAATAGAGAAAGAATAAGTCTTTTTCAAAAAAAGGGTATTTGTAGGCAAATCTATTCCTTACTTAAAAAATAAACTCAAAAGAGTTCATTACATTAATACAACATAAAAAACTGTAATAAAAGAAAATATAAGAAAAAATCAACATGGGGTTTGGGGATAAGTTTTTAGATACAACACCGAAATGATGAGCCATGAAAGATAAAATTGGTAAGTTTAACTTAAAATTAAAAACATTTCCTCTTCCTTTTCATTCTTTTAACAGAGAATGAAAAGATAAGTCACAGAGTGGGAGAAAACATTTGGACATTACAAATTTGATAAAGAACTTGCACCCAAAATATATGGAAATATCTTAAACCTTAACAATAGTGAAACAAGTAAACCAATTAAAAACTGTCAGAAGATCTGAACGGATACCTCACAAAAGAAAATACAGTTGGCAAATAAGCGTATAAAGAGATTTTCAACATCATTTATCACTGGACAAACGCTAATTAAAACACCAAGATACTATCACACATCTTTTAAAATTGTTAAAATTTAACAAAACAAAACAGAAGCAACCTGACAACACCCATGGCAGGTAAAGATGTGGAACTAGAAAAACTAACATTTATTCCTGATGAGAATTAAAAATGGCCCAACCCTCCTGGAGAACAGTTTAGTTCTTCATTACAAAGCTAAATACAGCCGTATTAAATGACTCAGCAATCATACTCTTAGGCGTTTGCCCAACGACTTTGGAAACTTATATCCACACAAAACCTGCACATAAATGTTTATAGCAGCTTTATTCGTAAATTCCCCAAACTGGAAGTAACCAAGATGTCTTTCAATGGGTGAATGGATAAACAAACTGTGATACATCTACACAATGGGATACTATTTAGTGATAAAAAGATATGAACTATCAAGCCTCATATAAACATGAATTAACTATAAATGCTAAGTGAAAGAAGCCAGTATGAACAGGCTAAATAACCTGGAAAAGTAAAACTGTGTAAAAGGTAAATGTGTCAATGATTGCCAGGGGCTTGGGGAAGGAGGAGGGTTGAATAAATAAAGCACAGGAGATTTTTAGTATGATAAAAATATATTGTATGCTATAGTAATGTGGATATACTATGCATTTGTCAAAGCCCATAGAACTTTATAGTACAAAGAGTAAATCATAATGTATGCAAATTAAAAAGAATTGAAGAGGTAAGAGGATCCCATAATGGAATGCAGAATGTGAGAAAAGAATCCAATTGTATTACAAATGTAAAAAATGACCTCACTGATAGAGGTGTAGGGAAAAAGTGCTGATAAATATATATCTATATCGATCTCTATAAAAATTTGTAACAGATCTTGAGTTGATAAACTTTCATAGTGAGTAACAAGCTTTTATTGATCAATAATAAAACACAAACACTCAATTTTAAAATAAGCAAACTACATAAACACTTGTTCAAGAGAGAAGAAAAACCAATTACTAATAAACTTGGTGAAGCAATTTAGAATCTCAGGAAGAAAAAGAAGTAAATTTAAAACTACAAAATATCATTGCCCCCCCTTTCAAACAAACAAACAATTTGAGTAAGAGAATGTCTGGTGCTCAAGAAATATAAATGCTTAACCTTGAAACACAGATTTCTTACCACTTTTGTTCTCTAGCCTCAAACTAGGATCAAGTAATTCAGTACACTTGGATGATGTGTGCACCAAAATCTCAGAAATCACCACTAAAGACTTATTCATCTAACCAAAGACCACCTGTTCCTCAAAAAATTATTGAAATAAAAACAAAGGCAAATAAAAGTAATTTAGTACACTTAAGAGAGAGTAATTTATCTGAAATTATTGTTTAGTATTAGAAAAAATGGTAATGCTATTTATAATATGCAGAAAAGAGTAGAGAGGTGAAAGCAAAGCTAACCACTTTCTTGTCTCTGTTGAATTAGATCCAATGCAGAACTGATTTCCTCGAGGGCCTCTAAATATTCAGAAAATCAGTGTCACCTATATTGAAATATAAGTTCTAAATCTCATCTCCCAAACAAATAGAATGATATTTATGATTTCTCATTCCTTTGTTTTTTGCACTACAAGT
Source organism: Homo sapiens (assembly GCF_000001405.40). Classification (NCBI taxonomy): domain Eukaryota; kingdom Metazoa; phylum Chordata; class Mammalia; order Primates; family Hominidae; genus Homo; species Homo sapiens. Next base: position 37,329,510 of record NC_000015.10, read on the forward strand.
CTCTGTCAGGCCAAATAATCACAAGTAGAACTAATGTTTCCTTTTAACTAGTTTGTGGCTTTGTAAAATGACTTTATTTTAAATTTATTTTTTGTTTTTATTAATGAAGAAAAAAGATGGTGAACTTTCATTCAAAGATACAAAAATCCAATGACTTTAGAGAATATAAAGATAGATTTTTTTGATTACTAATAACAGGGAAATAACTATCAATATAATAACATTACACTCTGAACTGGGCTTCTTAGGGGCATGACTAATTGTCTATTGGGGCAATAAAAATAAGACTATAGAAAATTCAGAGAGAAGGAGTGTTTTGAAAGTAAAATAAAACAAAAATAAGGCAAAATACTGAGCATATTTACCTAAATTGGCCCAGTAGGAGGCGAGAATCTAGAAGAAGCTCCTAAATAATTATCAGTACTTGGTCATCTGAATCAAGATACAGTACTCTTTATAAATGTCAGATTTTTGTCAGTAACATTTTTTTTCATTTTTCCATCTAGTTACTAGCTCTTAGAAATAAAATGTTCTTCCTATTTTCTCTTCAATGCCTCAGTTTCTATCCTGCTTACCACTTAATTCTATTAGTCTAGATACTTGCCTGTCATCTTACACCATATAGGTCAATGGTGGAATTGCACTATGGGTAATATTGAAATTCTTGGAAATTTCTGAAGAAGCAACTTGCAAAAACAACCAGTGAAAGCAATAGAAACATTTGAGAATCTACTTGCCTTTTAAGTCACTCTAAACACTTTTTATTGGATTGCTTATCATAGTTCTCAAAATTGATTGTATAAGAGCTCTCAGACTATACAAAGAAAGTCATGTAAGAGCATTTACACGGAAAGTCATGTGAGAACATTTATAACAGCAGGTTATAATGGCATTATCAACTCACAATATTAAAATGGAAAAGCCCAGATTTTAATTTTTCCCAGAGCTTTAATATTGCAATTAGGCTATATAAGAAGTAGAATAATTGTATTGTCTAAATATGTAGACACAACAGTGTCCCCTCAAAATCATGGCTCAAAATCATGGTTATTAATGCCACACATTATTCACTCAAGTGTTACAATGTAGCAGCTGCCCATAATTTCGTACTGTGGGACTCATATTCAGGATGTGAGTAGATTCTTTGAGACAAGTATCCATAGTGTCACAAAAACACCTGTCCTCATGGAGTTTTCATTCTCATGGTGAGAAGCCAACAATTAATAATTAAAATGCATAACACATCAAAGGGTGATAAGTGCTTGGAGAAAATGAAACAGGGAAATGGGATAATTGCTAACCCGATCACTTCCAACACTGAGCAATTTCCTTCTATAGAAGACTCAGTCTAGAATGTAAAATCTTTCCTATTTTTGATAAACTTGACAGCTTTTCCAAGACACTACTTTTAGAAATGAATGTGTAATGCCACTTATCAAGCACATATTCCTTCTTGTGTAACATCAAAGAGCATCAGTATGTAATGTATAAAATATATTTTTACAACTGGTGGGATGAGAGAGCAAGTTAATCACTGTTAGTTCCTTTGCTAGGTTCTTTTTTTTAGCTGCTGGGGATGAAATTGGTTGGGAGATGATTTGGTGAAACACAGGTTGGCTAAAGGTCTTACCCACCTGGTTTACCCTTTCAGGAAAAATAGAAAAAAAGTCTGTCTTCTTATTCAGCAGTTAGTCTTCTGTGGTCATTAAATGATATGAACTGTAATTCCCATCATATTTCTAGTGTGCCCTAATGATGTCACTCAAATGAAAATATTTTTCTGTACGGCAAGAGTGATGAGGAAGGTAGAAGCTTTGGTTTCAATTTGATTTGATGATTTTATATAGACCCGCTATGAACTTTTGCAGTCATTTATAACAAAATTCCCCCAAGATACATAAATCATCAGACCGAAAAATTAGTGTCTATCTAAACAGATGCTTCTATTTCTAGCCTACATGACAAAACAAAATAAAACCTGTAAGAGTTTTGTATGCCATTCGTTTAAAATATATGTAGACTCTAAGGTACACTATGACTTCTCTCTTTCTTAAATTAAAAATAATAGGTATATTAAACAACCTTACTAAAGTGCCACTTGTAGCTTCTCTTACTCTGCCATCATAACCTTTTCTCATTTGGTAAAATGACTAAATGGAATGAATTCTTGCTTGTATAATTTGTGCTTTCCTATTTTTTCCTACATAGTTTGAGTTCTTCCTCAGAATACTCGAATTAACGACAAAATTCTTCTTGGCTGAAACTTCCCTTAAAACAGTCTTTTCAATTTCATTCTAACCTCTGCACAAATGAGACAGCATTTGAAAAATACCGTCTTTGTCATGGGGCCCTTTTCTCTAACACCTAGAAAACCTTCTGTTACTTACAATAGCAAGCCTACTTACAATGTTTGTCATGTAAGATTTTTGTTCTAACTCTTCAAATTTGGCCGCAACTATCACATAATATGAGTATGTTGTCCAGTCTGGCCAGTAATCTCTCTGTGTAATAATCATACCACTCTTTTTTTTCACTATGTGAATTTGCTTAAGATGCTTGTGTTGCTTGGAATGCCATTTCCTTTCCTTCATTCTAATTCTGACCCATATTTCAAGACCATAGTCTTCATTTATTGTATCACGTGAACACAGTGCAACAACACTTGAGCCCACTGTCGCTGACCAGAAGAATGTCAGCTGAACATTGAAAAAAATCCACGCTAAACCAGAAACGAGACATTTCCTGTGGAGAAATTATTTTCTCAGGTTCTTGATAAAGAGGAACTAGAAATTCCTAAGATAATCCTATTTTGTGCCATTTATAATTTGTTATATGTAAATATGCCTGAGTTAATTGTCTAGAAATAAATATGGAGTTCTTATTCCAGAGTGTAGATTTAGATGAGGTCATTGTCACATAATTCTGTGGTTTTCTTCCTAAAACAATCAAAGAGGACTTCTAGGTATTTTTATAGATAGATATCTGAATTATGTGGATTTCATATGATTATTACAACCAAACTCAGGTGTCCAGTTGGGTGAACAGTAAACACTAGGATAATGCTGGATTAAAAATTACTTCTGAGAGAATATGCTAGAGATTAAAATTGAACATGACAATTATGACCTATAAGCAAAGGAGTACTGATAGACAGTGTGTTATTAACCAAGAAAATAACTTAGGTATTTAAGAACTTGAGCTAATGGGAAAGAATCAGTATCTCTCTTCTCCCCCCTTTCCTCTCTCTCTCACTCTCTGCCTCTCACTTTGATGTGTATTTTTGCTACATGATTTACAAGCATTACTTTAGATCAGTAGAAGACAACTCATAATATCATATTATTTTATTATAGTAATATTGTGGCAGTACACATACATCACACTAATAAAATGAATACTAATAACAAGAAATTTGACTTAAAATTCATGACACAATAGAATAGCTCAGGAACAATTCAAAACAATGACAGTAACTTCTTTCTTTCTTTCCCTATATGCTATTTTTTTGGTAAGTGGAATCCATATTCCCACACAAACTAGACTTACTAAACTCTTAATAGCATCCCCATGGTTTTGCTTCTTACTACAATGCCTTCACTGATTTCATCACAGATTAAGCATAATAACAAAACATCGTTTGTCCTCAGGAGCATGAACTGTCTGAGGCTATTTCTGCATGCACAGCAGCCTCATTCTTAAATACCTGTCTTAAGTATGTCAATCTACCCACCAGCTTTCTGCCAGGAGTATGACTGCTGTACATAAACTTTCCTGATGCTAATTACCACAAAGCATCCAATTCTTTTCCTAACAAACTTTAAATATCATAATTTTATTGTTACCCCAAAATGGTGCTTTCTGCTTTGACAACATAGCCCGAGGCAATATTTTTGGAAGATTATCTTGGTGCTGCTCATTTACAATCCATGAATTTTTTTTCTCATTTAAGGAGGTAGTATATATCTGTATCGATGAGGAGTATTTTAGTTGTATATATAATAGTGGCTGTACAAATAATAGTGGCTGAAACACAAGGACTTATTCTCCACATAAAAGAAGTCAAGAGGCTGGCTGGGTGCGGTGGCTCATGCCTGTAATATAAGCACTTTGGGAGGCCTAGGTGGGTAGATCATGAGGTCAGGAGATCGAGACCATCCTGGCTAACACAGTGAAATGCCGTCTCTACTAAAAATACAAAAAATTAGCCAGGCGTGGTGGCAGGCGCCTGTAGTCCCAGCTACTCAGGAGGCTGAGTCAGGAGAATAGCGTGAACCCAGGAGGTGGAGCTTGCAGTGAGCCGTGATCGTGCCACCGCACTCCAGCCTGGGCGACAGAGTGAGACTCTGTCAAAAAAAAAAAAAAAAAAGTCAAGAGGTTAAGCAGGCTAGAGGTGCTATGATGACTCTATATTTTTATCCGTTATCCTTAGCACATGGTTCATGTACTCAAGTCTACCACATGGACCAAGGTTGCTGGCTATGGGAGTATTTCACGCAGCAAGAAAGAGGAACGGAAAGGGCCCAAAGAAGCATATATCCCAGGAGAGTCAGCCTTCCAGGTACTCCAATTCATTATTTACATTCGCCTCTCAGCAGGGAGAATGGGAAATGCAGTCTTTTTGCTGTGAGGATTGCCGCTTTCTGCTATTAAAAAAGAGAACAGATGCAGAATAGGCAAATATTATTTTTTCCCATATTACTTTTACCTTTTTAAGTTCCTGCTGGTTGAAGCCCTTTACTGCATGTCCAAATGGAAATATCACAACCTTTGGAGTCAGCAGATCTTGCTTCAAGTCTTGAACCTGCCCCCTTACAAGGTATGTCACCTTTGGTATACCATTATCTCTGAATCTTGTTTTTAAGATGGAGATTTTAATAATACTATTTCATGAGATTACAGTGAAGAACAGATATCATTATATATATATATATATATATATATATATAAACTAAGCTACTTATAAAGTACCATTGTATATTTAATATACATATTAATAGTTCATTATATACTAGTTAGTTATGATTGTTATTGACTTTTATGTGTGCATTTGGAAGTTATTTGCATTAACTAAGAGGACTATGAAGAAAAAAACCCAAATAATTATGTAATTCTGTGTTCTCTAAAGTTGTTTATTCTTACTCTGAAGAATGCAAGAAAAAATACTAATACTTTGATCTATATTAAATTAAAAAAAAACATGTGGAGAGCAATAGGAGTATTGGATACCACAGAAAATATGTTGAGTTTGCAGAGTAAAGAGGGAGTCAAACTTCCTTCTCTTCACAAACTTCTGTGAGGCTAGTGCTAATGAATAAGCAGTTTTCATGTATAGCTCTTAAAGAAGAGACTGTTGATTATCTATGAAACATCAATCTACTCTACTTATTTTTTTCTAAAAGCTTTGCTTTTACTCCTGAATTGATCCCTTTCCATAGGACTGAACAATAATATTCATTACAGCAATATGGAAGTTGGTAAATATTTCTTATCAATTGATTATATCTGCTAAATATTTTCTCTACTTATTTTTCTCATAGTAAGGTGCATGGTTAAGTAAGGGATTTTTCTAGTATAATTAGTATACTAGAATGATAAGTTGCCAAACAATAGTCTATTTTCCCAAGAAGAAATACTAACAATTAATGTCTGTGCATATAGTTCATTCGATTTAGTTTACAGGACTGTAAAGTTTAGTAGAAATGCATACTTTTGAAATGGAAAAGTATTTTCTTGAAAATTTTTCTTTTGTAGCTCTCTTCTGAGTTTGTGAAATTGGTTTATATATATTTATGTTGACAAGTGATCTTCTATATTTCTTTCGTAAAATGTCTCCTGTCACAGATGAAATGCTAGTACTTTTAATATGTAAAGCATATTGCAATCAATATTGCAAATACCAAGGACCTAAATAGACATAAGGATGAAGAATATAGGCAGAAAATTCTCTGGCAAGACTAAAACGTGTTTCAAGAAGAATGGAGTAGTAAACTGCATTTTAAATTCTGCTGAGAAGTTAAGAGGAATGAGTGAAAAATAGCCAATTAGAAGGAGGGAGATTGTTGCTCTCTTGGATGAATGCAATTTTGATGGAGTGGAGGAACAGAAGCCAGCCTGAGATGGACTAAGGACCAAGTGATGGTTTCAGAAATGCAGACTGGAAAGACAGACAATGTTTCTAAAAAGTCTGTGAAGGTGAAAAACCTAGGGATGTTGGCTCTGGTAGACTTCTTGGGGATATAGCAGAGACAGAGACCTTAATTAGTTATGCCTACTTCTGAGAAGTTGGCAGGAGATAGGATATAGATCAGACGTGGAGAGTTTCACCTTGTAGAGAACAGATGCTTTATAAAAATTAAAAGCAGAGGCTGGGTGTGGTGGCTCACACCTGTAATCCCAGCACTTTGGGAGGCTGAGGCAGGTGGATCATCTGAGGTCAGGAGTTCGAGAACAGCCTGGCCAGCATGGTGAAACCCCATCTGTACTAAAAATACAAAAATTATCCGGGTGTGTGGCGGGCGCCTGTAGTCCCAGCTACTCTGGAGGCTGAGGCAGGAGAATCACTTGAGCCCGGGAGGCGGAGGTTGCAGTGGGCCGAGATCGCACCACTGTACCCCAGACTGGGTGACGAGAGCGAAACTTCATCTAAAAAAACATAAAATTAATACCGGTGATATAGAAAAAATAGGGATGCAGATACAGGTACATGTTTATATTTCATAGAGGGAAGCTGAGGTAGTTTCCAACTGGTTTGAAGGAAAAATCCAGATTCGAGATTATGAAAAGAATAGTGAAGAAGAGAAGTCACAGAAGACTTTGAAAATATTTGTTTTCAGTAAACCAAAGTTTATTGCGGCACTACTCACAATAGCAAAGACTTGGAACCAACCCAAATGTCCAACAATGATAGACTGGTTTAAGAAAATGTGGCACATATACACCATGGAATACTATGCAGCCATAAAAAATGATGAGTTCATGTCCTTTGTAGGGACATGGTTGAAGCTGGAAACCATTCTCAGCAAACTATCGGGAGGACAAAAAACCAAACACCACATGTTCTCACTCATAGGTGGGAACTGAACAATGGGAACACTTGGACACAGAAAGGGGAACATCACACACCGGGGCCTGTTGTGGGATGGGGGTAGGGGGGAGGGATGGCATTAGGAGATATACCTAATGTAAATGACGAGTTAATGGGTGCAGCACACCAACACGGCACATGTATCCATATGTAACAAACCTGCACATTGTGCACAGGTACCCTAGAACTTAAAGTATAATAAAAAATATATATATATAAAAGAAAATAAAGAACTAAGAACAACAACAACACAAAAAAAGAAAATATTGAAAAATGTTTGCAGTCTCAAGATGATGAAGGAATATTTGGCCCTTACAAAACATAAAAAGAAAGTTATAAGGGAAAAAGACAAGTTAAAATAAAAACTGAGAAGAGTGAAAAGACTTAAGCAGACTAAGAATGTTACAGCAAAATTTAAGTCTTCTCTGGAGTAAATAAAGAGCAGAATAGAAATAGCACTGTGGAAGTTCAATTCAATAGCATGAAGGAAACAAACTGCAAACCACCAAAGCTACAGACCAGAGTACCAGCGGCCCATGGTAAGGAGGCCTGAAGGCCCCAAAGCTGTCTAGCCCCTCAGAGCGCTGAAAATGGACCCACTAGGAGACTGATCCAGAAGGAGGCCTCACACTGAGTAGAAAGTTTTGGGAATGGAATAATAATTGAGCAGGAAAAGACAATAAAGAGAAAGGAAAGCAAATGTCTAGACCAAGTGGGAGAGGAGACAGAGGTGGGAAAGCATAGCAAGTTAGACACTGTATTATTGAATACTATAGAAAAGGGAGCTCTTTGAAATTACAAAGGCTTGTCTGAACCCCATATTGATCTGTGCTGGTGGTTTTCTCATTCATTTAAATTAAAGATTGGCCCACATACATAGAGCTAGAGGTCAGTTCTCCCATGCTGGGGAGAGGCATGTTGGAGAAACAGATCTAGATAATAGCAACGAAACTCACTATAGCTCTTAATATTAACAGATATTTTCTTTATTCACATGCATACACATATACACACAAATACCTTATATATAATATTGTATTTTATATACAGTATTATATCTAGTATTTATGATGTTACATATTATTGTGTGTATATATAGTATTATATATAATATTATATTATACAGATAATTGTATTATATAAATAAAATGCAATATGGGAGAAATACCCAACTCCATTGAAAACAGAAAATTCAGGATGCATAAATTTTGAAAAAAAAAAACACCTTGTATCCTCCAGAGATTGAAGAAGGTACTGCCCTTATAATACAAAAGTAGAAAGCATAATCAATGTGCAAGAAACAATTATTTTAAAAATCGAAATTTAACAGAAAGGCTTTTGAAAAATATTTCCTGGACCACAGAACTAAAGAATTAAGAGATTAAGAAATAGAGAGAAATGGTTGAGACCAGAAAATGTGGCCAGAAGGCCAATGTGCATGTTACAAGAGTTTGGAAGAAGCGAGGACAAAAAAACCTGAACCGGAAGAGAGACTAAAGTTGTCTTTTTTTTTTTTTTTTTAAAGAATAAGGAAAATAGCTCCAAGGAATGACTTGTTATTAGATTGAAATTGTTCACTGTGTTGAGCAGGAAAGATGAGTAACACTTAAGGTAATGAGTATCAAACTTGTCCTTATGGAAAAAAACCCAGTTACTCATAAAGGAATAAGAATTAAATTAGCATCAGATTTCTCATCAGTAACATTGCATTACATTCAGTGTTCTGAACGAAAATCATTTATACCTACAGTTCCATACCCAGCTGAATTTCATATTCAGCCGAATCAAATATGGGGACAGGGACTCAGAAAATTTACATCAATACAAATCAGAAGACAAGAAATATAAGAACATGAGCAACTAATACAGGAAACTCGGAGGAAAACACATTCCAATTTGAGAAAACAATGTCAAAATGAGAATAAGCCAAGGTATTCATGGCAGTCACTTATTACTAAGGAACCTGTTTTTCTCTGAAGTAATTTAACTAACTTATCTCAGAATAGGCAGTATCTCTAAATCCTAACTCTTTGAAATTTCAATTTCGATGCCTTGAAATGATGCTCCTTGAATGTAGTAAACACATTTATGAAATATTCCATTCCTAATATAAAGATATTTGGTATCAACTTTCTAAGTGGCTAAATTTAGCAACTTCTCTGTATACCTGAGAAAACTGGAGGCAGAGGAAAGCCAGCGGAGAGCCAGAGGACTCACCGAAACTTTGAGATTATTATTTCACTTTCTTTGATTTGTTGTTGTAATATTGATAGCAAATAGTATTTCCAAAAGTAGTTTTTATGAGTAAGTGTCCTGTAATATTTATTAGCTGCAAACATGGTGGAAATGTCTAGAGAAAGAAGTACTTACAATATATGGCCCTGGGAAAGAACAACACTTTCCAACTTGAACACAGGCTCATCTGTTCATGCATGTGGACACACCCACAGGCACACAAAACGCCAGTGCTGCATTGTATCTCATCTGGCTCTTCCTAGTAATATGAGAACTTGTCCATCAGATTGAAAATCATTATCATAATGTTGTCTTCCTTTCCAGCAACAAATTGAGTGACATATTTTCATAATGACTGTTTGATTTATTAGGTCACACATATGAGAAAAGTATGTTTTTTAAATAATAATTTTAACTTCACACAATTGAAGCATGTTTGAAAATCTTGTATGCCTGAAATGGAAATGATTCAAGTTGGAGTTATGGAAGAAAAGTAAAAAGTTAAGGAGCTAACAGTATATTTACTAATCACCTGAATTGTAAGACTTTGCTATATCCTGCAGTGCACATAAAGCAATTTATACGAAGCTAATTTCATTATTTCAATTTTCTTCTGATATTGGCTATTGGTTGTCTTGTGAAGAGGGTTCATAAAGCTTCTTTTCTCCACCCTCACCCTTCACTTTCCTGTTGTCCTTTACTAGAACACCTACTTCATATTACACACACACACACACACACACACACACACGGAGGAATCAAAAGCAGTACAACACAAGTGCTCTTCTATCCATCCCAATCGGGGCAGATTTTAACTTCATTAAATTGCTGTCATATGGTGGCTGCTGACATGCGTCAGGCTTGGAGAGCTTCACTCATCAGGTATTCTCTAAGATTGTTAACAAGAACAGCAACTCTCATTAGGGGTTCCCCAAAAGCAGCTAATTAAGGGACAAAGGTTGCTCAGATTGTGACAATTACACCTGTAAGGTCCCTGTAGAAACACCCAAATCTCTAACAAACCTATGTTTGGTTGCTTAGGACAAGAAATAAAGAGCTCGTCCATTAAAAAAAAAAAATGAGAGGCAGAAACTGTCAACCATTTGAAAAGCTTTACGAAAATGATCATCCAATTAGTGGCTATGATCAAATCAGGCATGAACTCTCTCTGGATGGCTCCATAATTTTCCTTCTTGCATGGTGTAATTTCATATAGCTCAAATGAACTCGTGAGAGGTAATTCAGTTCCAAACAGTTTTCTCATCACTGCTAATTATACTAATACATTGAAATGCCTCCTACAAAATGCATGAGCCCTTTAAGCCACCTCATTAATGTGATATAATTTTTGCCAGAATATATATCAAACCTATTATCACCACAGGTTTCTTTAGCATTTTTTTTAAATGTCTATCAAAAGCTTAAAAAGTAGATTTCATTGGGCTGGCCCTCTCATAATTAACTGTTTCTTTGAACTACTGTTGTCTATTGTAGTATTTTTCAACGGCGTTAACAATCTTCAGTATGATATGCCCCAGATCCACTAGTTTCTTTTTTTCTCTCCGAGTATTTGATTCCTTAAATCTTTTCCGTTGTAGCTGATTCTTTAAATGGCAAATGGTGCATGCAATAATGTGCAAAAATGAGTTACACAAACTGAAAGCAGGGGTGTAAAAAAAGCATCATCTGAAACTAAAATAAAGACAGATTTTATGGTATTTATGTCAGTTAATTTAACTGCTGGTAGGGGCTTTTGTTGAAACATGAGTTAGTTCCAGTGTTTAACCTTGCAGTATTAATTTATGCTTTATGGCCTGAGTACTTTATCATTCCCTCCTTGGGAAGACAGTTATCTCATTAGCCAGAATTTAATGAAATGCAAGGATACACTTCTTAATTTCAAAGATTACTATAACACAAATCAGGTGTAAATCTCAGACTGACTGCCCCGTCCCTTGCCTGTTTAAAAAAAGAGAGAGAGACGGGTTCATTTTGCAATCATATCACAGAAATTCATCTGGTAGAATACATTTCATCACAGCCATCCTAAAAGCATCTCTCATCTGTAAAAGTTGGTTTAACTTTGCATCCAGCAATATTGATGGCCCTTTAGCTACTATAAAGTTTCCAGGGTTGACAATTCATTATTCATCACCACAATTAAAAAATAAAATGTTGATAAAATTACCAATTCCCTAGACTTATTCAAGCATGGGCATGAACTCTTCACATTTTGACTAAACGCAGTCTCATAGATAGTACCATTATATTTTTTACAACTGTAAAAAATCAGCTAATTTTTAAAATTAGCAGACATTTTCATGGAGAGGGTAAATATGACCTGAGATTTAGAATTATTGAATAAACACACACATATAAGTTTAAAATATAAGGCATATTATCTGTCTTAAGGAAGCAAAAACATTTAGGTTATAAAGCTGTCCAGAATGATCTTTGCTAAGAGTTCTAAGGCATCTGAACATTTAAATACTCTACCAACTGGTTGCCGATCCTGGCACAGATTCTCTACTTTTGTGTTTCTTGTTTTTTGCTCATGGAGTCTCCTTTGCTGAAATGCCTCTTCTTGCCTGTTACATCATCTGTAGCATAATCCTGGGCCTGTAACACCATTTGAATCACCTATGATGAATGTCTGATGTTCAAGTTTATTTGAGAACATTGCATGGTATTTAGGTTCTCTTGGAAATGAATGAATGAATACAGGGATGCTTGGTGTATGGATACTTTGACTATTAATTTGATGTAACTGTTCTAACAATGAAATAATAAGGAGCATACATATTTTTTCATTATATAAACAACATAAAATAAGGAGAACCCAGTGACTGAGTGACTTTCTTTGATATGCTAATTGGGGAAAGAATTCTTTCTAGAAACTAACAGTCATTTAAAATCATGCACTTAATTAGCTATATATCTTGTGAGAGTGTGTACGTGTGCATTCTGTATGAGAATGTGTGTTTGTCTGTTCATGTTTGTTTAAATCTCAGCTCAAAACACAAGATTTATCACAGAGATAGGCTTTATTTCAAGGAAATGGCCAGTAAACTCTTGCATAGGGATTCATGATATTTAGCTCACTAGCTATAGGCATTCTTTTTCTAATATTTTTATATATGCCTACACCTAGAAATTTGAAAGTAATAAAACATGATGTGAGGCATCGTAACTGACACTTCCTTGATCCAGAGCCAGGTTCTTTGGAGAAATAGCATGGAACCTTGATCTGAGTGTGGGATTTGAATTTAGACAGACGTGCATCCAAATCATGGCTTCCTGGCTATGTACTATGAGAAAAATTACTTACATTTTTCTCATATGTAAAATGAGATAGTTAAAACTTACTAATGTACTTTAAAATAAACTTTATTTTTTAGGGCAATTTTAGTTTTACAGAAAACTTGAGGAGATAGTACAGGGAGTTTCCATAAACCCAAATCCAATTTTCCCTCTTAATAACATCTCATTTTAGTATGACACATTTGTTTCAATCAATAAACAGTATTGATATTATCAACTAAAGTCCATACTTTATTCACATTTCCTTAGCTTTACCTATTGTCTTTTTTTCTGTTCCAGGATCCTACCAAGGATATCATGTTACATTTAGTTGTCATGTCTCACTAGGCCACTCTTGGCTGTGATTATTTCTCAGAATTTCATTGTTTTTAATTATTTTGACTATTTTGAGAATTATTGATCAGGTATTTGTAAGATGCTCCCCTATTAAAATTTTTCTGATGTTTTTGTCATAATTATGGGTTTGGGGAAGATGAGCACAGAAGTGCAATTTTCATTATAACATATCAAGGACACATATGATTAATATTACTTATCATTGTTGATGTTAAGCTTGATCATCTGGCTGAGATCTTCGTAACATTTTGACAGGATTAAGCCAAGCAGTGGCATGTGAAGATACACCCAGCACAATGCCTGGAGCACAAGAGGGGTTCAATTACCCTTGAGTCTCACTTGTCTTTCTCACCTATACTTGTATTAAATTGTCATGATTTTTTTGTGCCTTGGTTATGGTATCACTGGTATATACCTATGTCCAAACTCATCAAAATGTATATACTAAATATGTGCAATATTTGGTATATCAATTATATATCAAAAAAGCCTTTAAAAAAGAAAGTAGATGTTACCTATTAGCTGAATTATGAGCAACTATCTCCTCCACTATATTCATCCATCAATTTATCAAATGTTCAGGAGCTATAATGTACTGGACAAAAACACCAAAGAATTTTTATTTCTGGATTCTTAGTTCTTTCAATACACTTCTGCTTGGCCTTAGGAAAAGTAATGAGTCTTTATCTTGATCTAGGCTTTATCATATATTTATTCACATATATTCAAGTACCTACTGTAAGCTGATCTTTGCCTTTGTTGAGCCTGTCCTCTGACCCCACACACCAGGTTTGCACACTGTGGCTTTTCCTTTCATAGCCATCAAGGTACAATGTCCGCTTGAACCCTGAGTTTCATGCAAGAGGGAACCACACTTGTTTATGGGGTATCCCCGACACTTATCACATGGCTGGCACATATTAATGCTAAAATACTTTTGAATAGATTAATGAATTAATTTTATGATGGAAGAGGGTCCTTAATATTTATTTTTAAATTTAATTTCTCAGAGTGGTAAAATGGGAAAGCATATTCATGGGGATTAAATGGTTTGCCCAAAGTCATACCAGTATGGCTCAGTGCCAGGCCTTGATACTACCTCTTTCGATTTTGTGTGCAGTGTCCTTTTCACTAGAAAGAGATGTTTTCAATCAAGGGTCTATGCTAGGTAATGTGGGCATATAAAGATATATAATCATATCTATTTCTTAGGGGTTAGAGGATGAATTAATGTATTTCGAAGGCAGTAGGAAAAGAAAAGGTGCTATGAAAGTATAAAGTATTATTAATACTGAGTGTTGGAAAGACATGATTGAATTTTTTAAGAACTAGATATATTTAAGAAAAAAGAGTTCCCAACCAACCTGTCTCAGAATATTCTACTTCATGTATGAAAAATGCTTGAAGAGGGACAGTTAGAACCAAGACCTCGTTTATGAGCCAGAAGCTGACTGCCTCTCTATGGAGCACAGTGAGTTCCCCAGACATCCCTCCAGCCCCAGAGCAGCTAGTTTTAAAAATAATTCCAGGCATTTGGTAATAAAACAATAGCCAATTGGAGAACTTGTTGGGATTTATTTCATTTGGAGGATGTTAATGAGTTTTTAAAATTTAAGCAAGTGGTCGGAATAATGTATCTCATGCCAAAGCTCATAAGTTATTAAACAAACGTGAGTTTACTCAGTTGGAAAATAGTAAGACATGGTTGAGTCTACATAATTTCCTTTTTAACTCTCATGACTCTCTGAAGAGCCTACTCCATGGCTTCCCTTACCTCAAGTTGAGTCTATCATGGGCTCAGGCCAGAGGCAGAGTCTGGTTCTTTAGACTGTATTGAATGTAAAATTTCCAGATCAGCCTGGTTTCTGGACATGACTGTTATTCCCCCATCAGTTAACTCCCAGTTCATCCTAATTCTTCTTCTACTTTTTTATCTGACCAGTTATAATATGGATATCTGTTAATAGTAGTAAGTGCTTTAACCGTTGATGCCTGAGAGGGGTCAGTTTGGAATTTATTATATTAACTGGTTAAAGAAGTCCCAGATTTCATATTTGAGAGGTTTCTTTAAAATTGGTAGTATGCTGTTTGCTATTTCTTTTATTTAATATGTATGTTTAGAAGTGGATTTAAGAATCAAAATGAGATGGCATTTTTCATTCTATCTAAATGAATAATTAGGTAGATGAGTTATCTATAGATCATTTATCTGTTAGAAGATCTAACAAGAATGCCAAAAAGCTTGTTAGGAAATATTTTGCAAACAAACGGACCTAAAAATAAGTTTGATTTTGGTCCCAATTATAGTGACTTCTTTGGAAAAGCCATTTTTGTGGAATTCAAGCTGCTATCTATCACAGAAACAGTACTTAGGATCACTTGCATTTCTGGAACCCTGTGCTGTACTATTATCTGTATTTACTGCACTTTAGGAAGTAGACCAATGTTTATTATACTAGATAAAAATTTCAATAGATAAATAATTTAAGTGCTTGTCTCTACTAAACAATTTTAATTCAAGCAATGGGTTATATGAGTTTGCCAAGTAATGAAGAAAACCCCTTAATTTTCTTTATGTGCTTTGGAAAGTAATTTCAATAGATGACAAATTTACTCTTCTTTTCTGACTTAAATTTCTCTTATGTATATCCAATGATAAATATTTTATTCCACTGATATTTTATAACTTCATATGCATCATTTTTGAGGTGGAGATTGCGAAGTTCAAACAGAGAAGAGATGTTGGAGTAAGATGATACCTTTTACTGGGAGCAGAAAGACTGCCCATTAAGGTCCCATCTGGGCACTAATTCTGCATCAAACAATTTGACCATTAGCTCTAAAAGATCTCCCTCCACATAAACAACATGGAATTTATTTCACATCATCTCACCCCTAGTTGCATTAAGTTTAAAATGTTGATTTATTTGGTTGGACTACTGACAACTGTAGACTGAGCTGACCATAAAACTATATTTAGATGTAATTCTTCAAAAGGCCAAAGGGTAACAATTTATCCACTTAGTCTTGTAGGAATTAATTTTTCGATTTGACTATTCATAGCATCATTAATGAAGAAAAGCCGCAAGAGAAAACAGACCATTTTCAGGAATGTGATTCAGAACATTAACACCTTAATTTACATAAAATTAGTTACATACTGCTGCAGTAATTTAATTTGTTTGACCAGTACTTTGCAACTGTGAAAAATAGATTCAGAAAGGCCAAACAAGGAGTTCTATATATTTTCTCCAAATGACTAGTCTCAGAATAATATGAAAGAGAGAGAATTAATTACAAGACGATTCAGAATACCATAGTGGCAGCTTTGGAATGCATGAATTAGGAATACATTCTTCTTTTATTCCTTCTTCTTCAAAAATCGTCATAAAATGCCCGCTTCATGCCTGAAATAACTTCCATATTTTCTCCAGGTTTCATTACAGTTGCATAAGTAATAATAATAAAACCAAGAGTGTATGATATGCATTGTTGTCAGATAAAAACCTAAATCAATCTAGTTTTACCAATAATAACATCACTTAGTATAACACATAGGTGTTAAGCACAAAATGGTATAACTAATATCATATATTGTTAATCTGTTAACATCCAACACTTAACCACTCTAACTTCTAGATGTGAAGCATAATTAATTTGAACTTTTAATAATTAGATGTTTGCTTTTAAAAATTAGTCCTTTGTGAACATAAACATCAAGGTTTTCCATTTTTCCTATCTTCATAGTTTTTCCAGCTTTTAAAAATATTTTGCACGTCAAATATATTTTCTACATAAAAATATATTTATAATTCAAAATTTCCTTATTATTAATATCACTTACAGCTGTACTTAATGCTTCTTTCCACCTAATATGCCTTATAAAGGTCCAAATTATGACTTCGTATGTGCGATTTTCTTAAATTATAGTTTTATTTTAAGTATCCACTTATAGCCAGGTTTAATTGATGAGGGTAACCATTTCTTCATTTTCTCTCCCACTAGCTATGGATTTGAGGCTAAATTATTTTAGCTCTGCTTTATATTTTTGATGTAATCAGAAAAATCATTTGTTCATTTTGTCTATTAAATGCCTGGTCTGCGAAGTGATAGTATTGATATGGTCGGAAGTATCCCAGGTTGAGGTAGAAGGTAATTGCTATCTAATAGTCTTTGTTTTACTGACAGCATTTCTATTTTGAAGTATTTTTTGAATTGGCTAATTAAGTTTATCTTTTGAATATATAGGACAATTCTTAAGTTATTGTTGATACCTTCCCTGTCAGACAGGTTATATATCATTTTCAATGCAGGGAAGAAAAAGTTTTGTCATTCACCTGGTTCTGTGAGAGAACAGTGAGGATTAACAACAACGAAAACCATATAAAACATTGTAAATACTTTTTCTTTTCTAATACATCATTTTCCAAATTTTAACTGGATCTAAACTGTAAACTGAATAATATCTTTAAAGTTATCCTCTAGTCCCATTGCCATGACGATATCTCTTCCTGATAACTTTCTAAAATAGAATGCAATGTGGTGGGGTGTTTTGAAATTCAGGGAGCTTGGATTTGGTTTTGATTTAGATTTAGCCCAATGACTTTGGGTTAGTTCACTAATCATTTCTGAGCCTGGATTTCCTCTTGGGTGAAATGAGGGTTTTAGATGTGATGGTCTGTAGGATCTCTTCGGGTTCACTAAACTCAGCATTTGATACGGTATTTTTGTTTGTTTATTTGTTTGGTACATTTAATTTTTTAAAGGATGACACAGCTGAATATAAGCAGGATTATGGACATGACTGAGGTGGAAGGGCAGTGTCATTTTAAAAGGTGAGTTACAGAGAGCCACCTACTTATGTGGTGAAGGAAGGTGGGCAGAGGAGCAGAAGGACACAGAGACAAGCTCTCAATTGCCTTGCTCTATTTTCATTGATTCTTGACTTTAGTCTTCTTTCTAGTAGAACACCAAGACAAGAGTGCTATAGAAGAACAGATTATTCAATTTCAAAACTCACTTTATTGAGATTATGTTTTGCTACAGCAAATTTGCCCCAGGAATACGTTATAACATTGGGCAAATGTTGCACTGTCTTTTGAATTTGGTAACCTTGTATTTTACCATGCCTTCCACTAAAGAAAAAATCAGCCACTATAATCACAAAGCTTTGGATTCCTAAAATATAAACACAATGTCTGCTTCTTTCAGTGTATTTATGTCATTGCTTTGACTTTATTAATTAAAAAGCTCCCTTATGGAAATAGTATGTGTCCCCACAATTAAGTTTGCCTCAAAATAAACCAAATTTCAAAAGGATCAAAATCAATGAAGATAATTTAAAAAGTAGAAAATGACTTCCACAAATCAGCTCTCTGGCGTAGTGTGCAATACTCTATGAGCCCTGGAAAGCTTCCTCATCTAGTCATTTGTGAGAGTGTAGGTCAAATGATTTGCTGAATCTAACTTTTATTGATCAGATGCTGTTTTACGGAGCATGCGCTGAACATTATTGGTAAAATGATAAGACTTTTCTTGAATAATACATGGTTTGTGCCTTAAGCAGAATGATGTTAAATGTGTGCGCGCACACACACACACACACCCCTTTCAAACCTAAAATGGAGTAGACAACTGAATAAAAGAGCAAACTTCCATCGTAGTACAATAGTAATGTGGAGAAACTGAACTGTTAAATCAAATCCATGAAATTCATTTTCTTTGTACAACATTAAAATATATCCCAGAAAATGGCAGAGCAATCCAATAAAAGAACAGGCTCTGAAAAGAGGAATTTGTTTGCAACAAGGTCACACATTTAATAGAGTTCTACAGTTTTGATCACATTTAGAATTCTATTGCTCTTTGTTAAATTTTCTCAGAATTTTTCAAAGTTTTTGTCATTTCTTTGAAATATATGAACCTTTTAACGTATAGATAATTTATTCAGCACCTACATTTAAATGCTCCGTAGGTGTAATTTTTCTATTAAGTTTTCTTCCCTAGCTGCTTTTACTTTATCTCAAATAGATTATTTGGGATAATCATTGTCAACAAATTATAACAGGACTGATCTGTTAGAGGATCAGTTCTTAGCTTCATTTCAATATTTTAACGATTTGCATAATAATTTTGCAGGAAGGAAACTTTCTGTGACTCATTGTTTCAGGAAAATGGTCAGAATACTTTTAATATTATTAATTGTATTTACAATAGAACAGAAAATAATTCTAATATGAACTTATGAATATGAACATGAGGCTGTTTATGCCCCTGCATTGTTATTTTTCCCAGAAAATGTCTGAACAAATTGAGGGTAATTAAGTATGAATGAAGATAGTTATGTTATTTTTCAAAATGAAACAGACTTTCAAATAGCTCTAAAGGCACAAGCTTTTTTCTATCTTTACTAATATTACCAATTATAAAGATTTATTTTATCCAGAGAATAATATTTTGTTTACAAAAATCCATAATTATGCTTAATGTTGTGTTAGAAAATATATTTTTACCTCAATCTGAACTACATTAAAAGTGTTCTGCCTTAAGTCTGTAGTCAATTATAATTGTTTGGTAAAAAATATTTATCTGTGTAAGGATATAGTGCTTATAACAGGAGTTCTCCGATAAGCATGCAAATTTTGGCTGAAAACTACAAAGAGAAAGAGTGTTTTCCTCGTGTACATTTTCTGCATTCTTTTTCCTTTTTTTAAACGGAGAATATTGGGCTGTTTCCAATTAAATTGAAATGTGGCATGGAAGTTATCAATCAAATGTAATTATTTTGTGCAAAACAATATCACGTACAAAATTAGCATGTGCAACAGGGGAAAAGTGTCAGAACATATCAGTTGTTCCTGGGACAGCTCATCTCTTGTTGAAGTGATGAAATTCTGGAAGCATTGTTCTGGGCTGCCTGGTATCACCCACTTTGGCCCTCTTTCCTCAGGTTCATTTCCCTCAGTGGCTGCTTTTGGGTGCTTTCTGTACAGGATGCAGAAGGGGAATCAGAACGGAACTGTGTAAGGTCACCAGTACCTTCTTCATGGTCCTACCAGGAATCCTTACCTCAATCTCATTTAGACAGCACCAACTAGCATTCTATGTGTAGAATTTTGGCAGACGGTGATAGAGAAGGTAAAGCGTGATTCCACAGTTTCCCTCATACCATTTCCTCATCCTTCTCTGCCACACACATCTCATGTGCAGCAGGACTCTGGCTGCCTGAGGCCTCATGCATCGTGGCATCCGGTGGAGCTTGGAAAGTCTTCACAGTTGGCTTTGGGCCTGTGCCTTCCAATAGCCAGCATCCTCAACAAGACCTTCGTGATTCAGCCTTGCCCACTTCTGCTGTGTCACATGCCTTCCATCCCACTCCCAACCCCAGGCACCTTGACTCTGATCACTCTGACCTTGTCTCTGTTTCTGATGCATGCTTAGCTCTTTCTCAATCCTGAGTTGCTGGCATCTTTGTCTCTTCCTAGAAGCCTCTTTATATCAGTCCTCACCTGTGCCAATATCACTAATCCTTTCAATTTCAGCTTCACAATCATTTTCTCCAAGTTGCCTTCCTCTGATGCCTCATTCTAAATTATTTTTATTTTTATTTTATTTTTTAATTTTAATTTTATTTTATTTTTCTTAGACAGAGTCTTGCTCTGTTGCCCAGGCTGGAGTACAGTGGCACGATCTCTGCTCACCACAACCTCTGCCTCCTGGGCTCAACCGATTCTCCTGCCTTAGCCTCCTGAGAAGCTGAGATTACAGGTGTGCGCCAACATGCCTGGCTAATTTTTGTATTTTTAGTAGAGCCGGGGTTTCACCATGTTGGCCAGGTTGGTCTCAACCTCTTGACCTCAGGTGATTTGCCCGCCTCACCCTCCCAAAATGCTGGGATTGCAGGTGTGAACCACTGTGCCTGGCCCTCATTCTAAATTTGATTTTCCCAATAACTCCATTAAGTTAATCTTTCTCTTAAACACCCTATTTTTATTCTTCACAATTCTCATTTTTCAATGATTCGTGTAATGCCTGGTGCCCTGATTATTTTGTATGCTACATAAAGTCAGGGATATTTCTTTTCCACCACTGTATCCCCAGCACTTATTTCAGTGTCTGATGTTTAATAGGTACTCATTAAATTTTGTCAAAAAATTAAAATAGTTAATGTTAGAGCCATAGATTGAAACTAAGACATCTATTCTTACTCATATTCTTACCCCACCATGACCAGCCTTCCATTAATAGCTACAAAAGTAAGCCACGCTAAAGAGGTCCATCCTGAAAGAATAGTGGTTTAAATTTTACTACCTGGCAGCATATAATTTTTTTTCTGATTTTTAAAATCTTGGATTTAATGACTAAAATAATCCTTTTTGATAAACCCTTGAATGTTTATTGCATAAGAATTTATATCAGAATTAAGTTGGGTTAAGTACTAATCTTAAGTTTCTCTTACCCAAACAGTAGGAAAAGTCCTTCATGACCATCATAGTAATAAGCCCACATTGTACACAGCATGGAGGCATGTTGGGGGTAAGTGCAAGATTTCTCATGCTAACAGACGGAGAGGTGAAACCTCACCTTCATTACCCTTTTGCCTTACAATGCTGGGCAAGCTTCATAAATACTTTGGGGTCTCTGCTTTCTTATCTGTAAAACAGAGGTTAAAAATAGTACTTATCCTTTATATTACCTGTCTGTTTTATTCATTTCTCTATCCTATCTGCAACTTTGAACAAGGTTTGTCTCAATACATATGTTAATGAATAAATAACTTATTGGATAAATAAATATTGGACATTGCATGTCAAATATTTAATAGAAAATGTTTGATATATTCAGGCTATGACTTTTATTATTATTATTACAGATCTATATCTGTATCTACCTATGTATTATACCCATTCCAGTGTCTGATACAAAGTAGGAGCCCACTAAATTGCAGTATGATGTAGTAGGAAGATTTTACTAATAGAAATGACCCATAAAAATTCAATATGTTTTCTTTAATAGACACAACTCCACAGCGAAAACAAGTGGATGCTCATACTGAAGGCCTCCTCTGATAGAGTGTATAGAGGCTGCCAGTAATTATTCTCTATAATTTTCTTATTTCTACTCTAAAATCAGTGCTCAGTTATTCTCTTTTCTTATTATTTAAAATGATATTATTTCTAAAAAGATAAACTGACTATGCCAAAAGCAACAGGGTGAACAAATCACTTTCATAGTATTTTTCAAGCTATGAAGGAATAAACACACATATAATGTAATGTATAAAACCTATATAAATGTGTTGTAGGTCATATACGCAAAAAGGAAAGGTGAGGAATTTTAAAATATTATACATATAACTAACAACAGGAGACCACTTTGTAGTTTGCAGGATGTTTCCAAGGGATCTCCCCATTTCTTGTACCCTATTTTTATCACTATACATGTGTCTCATTTGTAAATGGTTGCTTCATCAATTCAAGATTTATTACAGCATCTTGGTAGAGAATTTGTGATGATTTCATCAGAGTTTTGACATAGCTTCCCTGGTGTAATTACTGTGGTATTCTAAGGAAATCTAAAAATTATACACATTTGAAGCTATTAAAATTATACATTATATATTTTGGCTGTCATTAGCAACATGATACAATCATATCTTATGTGGTAGAGTCTATATAACGTTCATTCTTGTTGGGTAGACATAATCTGAAAAAAATATGAACGCAGCATAACCTTATATATTTCATAGAGGATAGGAAGTATTACTAAGTGGTTAAAAGCACCGGCATTGGCATCAAAACTCAATTTTCTCATCTGCAAAATGGAAGTAATTAATAGTAACTCTGACAGAATTGAGGTAAGGATTCAATGAAATAACACATGTAAAATATTTAGCATATTACTTGGCTTATTTTAACACAAAGTGTGTGTTAATGTCACAATCCTGTACAGGAAAAACTGAGGTGTGAAGTGCATTTTGTTATGTAAAGTATAATGAGTGTTGTAGAATTGAAGACCACAGAAATGAGGAAGCATCATCACTTCTTTCCAAATTATCTGTGAATATTTGCATAACTAATAAGATTTCAAGGTAATGGAGTGGGTTTGGCTAACTAGGAAGGTAGTAGGTCAGGAGAACAAAACCTGGCAGAAGGTTTAGAGTAAGGGATGGGAGGAAAGGCTGCATATTATAAAAATGTGCCATAGGATTTGATGCTTGTGAAGTGAAAATACTCCCTTGTAATAAGTTACTGGTGGCTGCTGTTAATTTGAAATTTAGTGACAAGCCAAGATGTTGCTACAGTCAGATGTTGATCTACAGAGGCAACGGGTCCAACTTCTGGAGAATGTTTTTTTTCTATCTAGCAGTAATTTAAGCAGTGTGAAAACCTGTGCAAATGCTCTTTTGGGTCATTATACTTCTGCACATCATCCATAATATATTTGGAACTGGTAACACATTAGCCTTGTTAAATGTATTGGTTTTTCACAACTCATTTTTGAAAACATCCACACTTTATCAAGGCTGCTCCTTAAATCTAACATATTTATCATATGGAATTTTATTTATCAAATTTTATTTGCTGACAAGGGAGATAGACATGATTACAATGTTTAAAAAGATGTCGATTGATGTGAGAAAAGAAATGCAAGTCCTGGGCTGGAAGCTCAGTGGATTGGAGAAATGTAAACGTCTCCTACATTTTATCTTCACATGACAAAATACATTATGGTCAAAATAGGATTGTCTCTAAATTGCAGCTTTCTAACATTCTAAAACCTGCATAATATAAGCCAATGCTTTTGGTTAGGCTTTTAAAAAAAATTTAAAAATTCCTTGAGGAACCATTTTGTCATAAATGCTACTAGGTCATTGTAAGCCTCTTCTTTCTTACAAGACTCTTTTCTATGTAGTTATTTCAGATACATTAAAGCCAATTATAATTACCTTGGCTATATAAAATAACACCTCCTTACGCAAGGAGGATGTGATGTATGGGGTGCAACATATACTGGTGTCAAAAGCAAGTTATTTTCATCAGACAATTATAGTTGTCTTTGACATCAGGCCTCCATTTCCCACCAATTAGTACAAACTGCAGGGTGCAATTCTAGAATTCTGCAGTGCTAGCAGCTAGTGGTACTAAGTGGAATTTAAGGCATTTAAATACTGTAAGGTCCAATAAATATTCTGCTTTAACTTCCATTGGTTCAAATCAATAGTCTGTGTTGTCTGCACATCATTTTTCCTCAGCAAAAAGGTGCATATGGATTTTATTTTTTGTTGGATGTTAATTCTTCTTGTCAATAAAGTGCTTAATTTTCATTTTAACTTTATGTCTCTCCTGCATGCCACTGAACTGTGTATCAGGCCAAACTTACAACCGCTAGTGGGGATAGAGGTGGATGTCAGTGGAAGATGTTTGCAGAAAGGAAGTGCTCTGGAGTGAAAAGTAAAATTGACTTTTTATTTTTGTATTCTGTTCAGTTGTACAATTACTTTATATTCTTTAAAATTATTATATTGCTGAGGTAAAAACAATGTAAGCAAACCAAATGAGCATTGCTCAATTTTTTTGAGCATTTTATTTCTCATTTGAGAATTACATGAAAGAAAACATATGTGACTATAGGCTAGTGAGACTAAGGGATAAGGATAGGATGTGTAGATTAACCAGTTATTTTGCCTAACTGGCATCTACAAGCAAGGCTGCCTCATTTTTTTTTATTATACTTTAAGTTTTAGGGTACACATGCACAACGTGCAGGTTTGTTACATATGTATACATGTGCCATGTTGGTGTGCTGCACCCATTAACTCGTCATTTAACATTAGGTATATCTCCTAATGCTATCCCTCCCCCCTGCCCCCACCCCACAACAGTCCCCAGTGTGTGATGTTCCCCTTCCTGTGTCCATGTGTTCTCATTGTTCAATTCCCACCTGTGAGTGAGAATATGTGGTATTTGGTTTTTTGTCCTTGCAATAGTTTGCTGAGAATGATGGTTTCCAGCTTCATCCACGTCCCTACAAAGGACATGAACTCATCCTTTTTTATGGCTGCATAGTATTCCATGGTGTATATGTGCCACATTTTCTTAATCCAGTCTATCATTGTTGGACATTTGGGTTGGTTCCAAGTCTTTGCTATTGTGAATAGTGCCGCATAAACATGCGTGTACATGTGTCTTTATAGCAGCATGATTTATAGTCCTTTGGGTATATACCCAGTAATGGGATGGCTGGGTCAAATGGTATTTCTAGTTCTAGATCCCTGAGGAATCGCCACACTGACTTCCACAATGGTTGAACTAGTTTACAGTCCCACCAACAGTGTAAAAGTGTTCCTATTTCTCCACATCCTCTCCAGCACCTGTTGTTTCCTGACTTTTTAATGATTGCCATTCTAACTGGTGTGAGATGGTATCTCATTGTGGTTTTGATTTGCATTTCTCTGAGGGCTGCCTCATTTTTATTTACGAAATCAACTAGATTGATCAGCTATTTTGGTAACTGTTAATATGTTTGCGTCTCATCAGTTTCCAGCATAACACCAGACTTTTTTTTTTTTTTTAAAGGAACAGTATACAGCCAGGTCTTTAAGTGGTTTACCCTCACATATCATTGTCTTAATTTACATTACTTAGGAGATTTAAGTATTTTCCTTAAGTTTCAAGATTTCAAATATTATATAGCCAACAATATTTTTTAGGCATTGTTTCTAGAGTTCAAATATTGTCCTTTCATGCAAGTCACCTGAGAGTTTTATAAAGAAATGTACAGTTAGCTGTCTGTATCTGTGGGTTCCGTATCAATGGGTTCTGCATCCATGGATTTAACCAACTGAGGATTGAAAATATTTGAAAAAAATTGCATCTGCACTGAACATGTACAGATTTTTTCTCGTCATTATTCCCTAAACAATACAAAAACTATTTACATAGCATTTACATTCTATTAGGTAGTATAAGTAATCTAGAGATGACTTTAAAGTATGTAGGAGGATATGTGTAGGTTATATGCAAATATGCTACCTTTTACACAAGAGACTTGAGGATCTGCTGATTTTGGTATCTGCAGGTGTCCTGGAACCAATCCCCCATGGATATAAGGGGATGGCTGTACAAAAAGGAGATGGCCTCATTTTCAACTGGGATCTAATACTCCTCCTCAAACACCAAGAGTATGAAGCTATCCAAAATTATTCTTCTTAAAAAATACATGTAAGTCCTCTCAATGGGAGAGGACTCTGTTAGGTGGCATTGTAAGTTATGGGCCATGTGGTCTGTTGCAGCCGTACAAGATTATAGGTGGGACATAGAGTCCACGTGGAGAGTGAGGGAGAAAGATTCTGCAGAGTTGTTCAACAACACTGTGTCCAACGCAGACTAAGGCAGTTCACCTCTCCTTCTGCTCCAAGGGTCAGAAGCGATTTTCATACTTCCCAAATCCCTTCTGCTCTTTTTCCTCAAGGATGTTTATACGAATTTTGGAAAGAACACTATAGGAATAGCGTGTAGCTCATACACTAAAAAGAAGTGGAAAGATCAGTCACAGATGGGTATTGGTCATTTTTTCATTTATTCATTTAGTGTTTATTGAGAAACTACTGAGAGTGTGACAATGTGGAGATGAATCAGAAGTGGATCCTGACCTGAAGAATTTGTGGCTTAGGGCATCTGAAAGAAGCACATAAATAACTATAGTACAATATAATGTCTGATTAGTGCCACAAGAAAGTCACATGAGGAAACACTACAGGAGTGTTCAGAAAAAAAGGTGAATACTTGAATGGACAATCAGATAATTAGCCATTCCACTCATGGTCTGAGTGGTTTTTGATCTAGTCCCTTGGTGTTTCAATTTCTCTCTACTCCCAATATTAGGGAAAGATAGTTGTTTTAAATATGAAACATTATGTGTGAATAATAGTGAGTTTCTCTGCAGTGAAGTGTCAATTTAAGGTGTTGTATTTCTAGTAAATGAACCACTTTTAGTGGTTGCAAAATAAAATATACCTATAAAAAGGGAATGTACTTATAACTCCTTGATCATCAATAATTGTTCATACTACTCCACTTTGGGCAAAATCAACCCAGACGAGAGTACTTTATCCCGAAAATTTGTCACATTATGCCTAATAAAACCGATAGCAGACTAATTTCAAAGATAAAGACCTTAAAGTAATAGTTGAACAAGAGATAGGAACTGTCTGTCTTTCTCCCAGGGTTTGGGGCAGGAGGTAGCTAGGTCTATATAAGCAGCTCCTTTTCTCTTCCTAGAGTAAGAGGAAGCAAGTATTATCATGTGATTTAGACTTGACTTGTTATAATTATTTCCAGCGTCACTCACTTTCCGAAATCTACCAGAGCACCTAACCAGGCATTGCATTTAAGAGTTAACAGCATTATGAAATCCAGTTTATGAGTCTGAATATTGTAACCACCCTGCACCATAACCTGTGGTTCAAAAGACATCCTAGTAGCAGTCATCCTAAACTCAGGCCCCTGAGAGAGGGGAAAGCAGTGTTTTTATGAAGCAAACTATGGCTGCAACTTTACTGTCATTTTAGCTCTTCCTCAAATTTTCCTTCTCCCAGAATACTCTTATGGAATCTCATCAGTGCAACAGCTTCCTTTCGAGTGGCACTGAGTGTATCTTGCCAATGGTGCATGCAGTATATAAGCTCATAACACCCATTAGCATTAATGGGAGTTATCCGTGTAAATCCCCTCACATCGATTAGAGAATAGGCCCCTTTTGATTTTAGAAATCTTTCCTGTGAGGATTTCCCATGTGTCTAGTATGGGCATATAAATGGCCATTTTATTGTATTAAATATGTATCACATCCATCATTTTTAATGCTGTGCTGTGATGAAGGCTTCTCAGTTCTGGGATCAGTTCAGAAAATATTTAAACTTGGCAAGCTAAACAAGCCTCAGCTAAGAAAGCCTAAGGGCCCCATTCAGAGGAACATTATCTACCATTTATGCTTGATTTAAAAGACACACACACACACACACACACACACAACTGAAATTACTCAGAAAAAAACTGTGGACAACATTGTTTTTGACTAAATTACAGGCTTTTAATATTCATTAGCAGTGACTTTTCCATTATTCAGCCAAGAAAATCTGTACACAAACCAAAACCAAGACAGGGAAATTTACAGACAATGGCTGGTGTTTGTTAACAACAAAACAATACCAACTAAAGAAGGTCTACTTAGGTTCTGACCTAAGGTGGCTCTGTTGAGTGATTCTCTCCCTGATCACGACATTCATGTAGAGATTAAGAGTGGAAAAGAAATAAAATCCATATTTTCCCCATTGTTATTTTATGAATTGTAACTTTGCTACTAGAGAGTGGCTATTTGTAAGACTCCCAAAGCAGAGGCAGTGTGACATTGTCCAGGGGTGTAGACTGAATGCATCATTTACCCATAGACCTATCTTAGCCTTTGGATGGTCTTGCTTTCTTCAGCTAACCACAGTTTCTACCACTTCCAATTGTATTGTAGCACCTCTCTTCCTACACATTCCCCTGTTTGCATAGTAAGTCTTGGAGCTTGACCGTAAGAGTTTGATCCTGGCACTGCCCATCCTAGTTGTTTGTCTCTAGGCAAGCTATGTAGACTCTCTGATCCTCAATTTCATTCTCTGTAAAATGGGAAAATAATACGTTTGTTCAAAGATTGTGGTCAGAATAACATGAGTTAATGTTCATGAAGCCCTAGCTCAGACTCTGGTACAGAGAAGGTGTTCAACATATGGTAGACGTTATTATAAAATAAGTACGAAATCGTTATAAATGGGATGTGGGAACAGGCTTTAGAATACATGTACTTACTGGATCGGTCAACACTGTGGGTAGGATTTCTGGCCCTACTGCCTAAGGTATAGGAGATGCAAGCGAATGTCAGCCTCACAGGTCTGAAGAAGCAGCCCATTTCTCAACTCCAGCTTTAAGAGCATATTTACATTTTACGCAGTACAGAGACCATTGGAAATCCCATCTCATTAGCATATATCTCTGGCCACGTATATTTTGGGGGAATAAGTATGTCCTTATGGTAAAGCTGTTGCAGCCAATAGGAGAAAAACAACCTTGGCTTTGCTAGAGCGAAAGTGCGGCTATGAATGTCCAACTACCAATTTCTTTGTTAGGGAAAGGCTTAGTATGGCCACCTCCTGCTTTTTGCATTGACCAGATAATGTTTCATATAAGTAATAGTTTGGCTGGATTCATTTAACTCATTCAAGGGGTTTATGTGTGATTATATGTATTCGGTATTTCTTAAATAGATCTTAGCTTATTCATCTTTTCTTTTCCTTCCTTTTATTTTCTCCATTCTTGGAATTCCTTTGGGTCTCTAAGAGAACATTGACTTACTGGATCTTCTTTTAGACTCCTCCTTATAATGTATTAACTCTTGCCGAATTAATCGACTCTCTTTTTAATCAGCTGATAAAGAGAATGTCTTCAGTTTTTATTTTTCTTTTCCCTTTTCTCCTTTTTTTTTTTTTTTTTGAGAAGGGTATTCAATTCACACTTAAACATATTTCACAGCCTTGGCGTCATCATGTACTTTAAAAGTCTCCGTGGCCTTTTCAGACCTTTATTCCCTTCAAGGCTTTTACAATGAAAGGAGACTTCCAACCATGTCCAGCAAGTCATACCAGACAGCATTACGTAGTGGAAATTGGTGACATTTACAGAAAAGGAATATTAGGAGGACATTCGTGGGTTTATTTGTTAAGATTAATGGGTTAGGATTATTAAAGATCTAGTTTTTCATATGTATACATGTGGGTATGTAAAGATGGGGGTTGCGGATGGAGGAGAGAGGCAGGATTTAAGAAGACAAAGGCCTAAGGCAATTTACATTAGGGTTTACAATGGTTTTGCTGCAAGCATGCAGAACTAACTGGGTTTAGATTAAGGCAGTCTAATTAGTGTCATGTCAAACTGGCAGTGATCATAAGACAAGAGAGAGGTCACTCTTGTCATCTTCTTGGTCTTTTGCCCTTAAATATAGAGCTGCATAAAGTACAATCTCCCTCTTGTTAATGGAAGCAGAATATGTATAATCTGCACATGAAATGAAAAGAAAATGTGTAAGGAAATTTCTTTTTCCCATTTCCTCGTCAGGAGCTGTGAATTTTAGTGCGAATTAAAGTAAGGCTAATTCTGCAGTCATCTTCTGACCTGTCAGGGTAGCTGTCACCCTCACGTCTCTCAATGCAGGTCTTTAGCTTCTTCTTGCTGAGTGCAGCCTTTGCCGACTGACAGAAAAATACCGACCATGACAAGAAAAAAGAACATAATGTCCTTTTCACCCATCACTACTCAAAATTGCTCAATCTTTACTGACATATTATTATACATTGTTTCTCTGAAAAAGCACTTGCTTTCTTTTTTATATAAAAAGTACAAAACTTTCAAGAGACAAGAAACTGTTCTTTAGAAAAGATTAAAGCCTGTAATTATTTTAAATTGTCTATTAATATGCAATATGTTGCCCTTTAATATGAATAAGGTGTAGTGAGGCGCTTGAGTCATTAATAGGGCGCCCACTCATGCCTCTGTAGTTTAGGATCTGTCGCTTCTTTTATTACGGACCCAAAGGCGCCATGGTGGGATCGGCTGCTGTGTTTTGAGACCAATGTCCCAAGCTTGGAAAAATCTTTAAAAATGTATTGAAGACTAGATGAAAAACCACCCAGTTACTAATAAATGAAGTCAATAAAGAGGGTTGGAAGTAAAATTTGAAGCTCTTCCTCCATCTTTTATTTTTCCCCTTTTATGGAAAAAAGGGAGCACCTCACTTTAAAATACATTATTGGCATCTGTGAAATGCACAATAAAATATTATTTACAGTGAGAAGAAAAAGCATCAAGGGGTATGTGGACATATTGGAAGAGAATGTCAACATATACGGTGGCAATGAGTCCACCAAATGCAGATTTTAAAGCATCAGCGTGCAGGCTCATCCTCCATTAATGACAACAACCCTCCATTCCACCTCGTGTTGCCAGTGCCTCAAACAGTGGGGTGAGTTTGGGCTTACTATATCTAGGTGCAGTGGAGGTGGGTTTAAGGTGAGCCTTCTATTGTAGCTACCAATTCTCTTTCCTGTGATGAGTCCGGATTCTCAATAATCCTAGACAATTACTTTAGGTCCTAGTAGGTTCTTGTTTTGAAAACAATATAGAGATCAAGTACTCACTACAAATAATTAACCAATAGACACAGGAAACACTTAGAAACAGTAGTGTTTATTTCAAGAGGCATAATCTGAGGTATAAAAATGCACTTTGCAGTGGGTACTCATTTTAATAATTTGCAATATTTTTTGGATTATCACCAAGATTATTTTTATTTTTTTTTAACTGAGGGAAATATGTGTTATTTCATCACGTGACATTTCTTTGAAAAATCTTTCTTGTCTAGATGTGGACCTTAATGCATTATGCAAAACCCAGGGATTTAGATTTTTGACATTGCATACACTCACAATATATTCTAAGTGGAGACATTATATGCTAACTTCTTGTGAAATCCTGTAGCAGCTGCTTGGTTCATATAATATGTTGAAAAATATTTATGTAGTTTGTTTTCTTTTCTGTCAACCCTGGTATCTTATGAAAATTTTTTTCAAATGGCCAGTAGCTA
Organism: Homo sapiens; assembly: GCF_000001405.40. Taxonomy (NCBI): domain Eukaryota; kingdom Metazoa; phylum Chordata; class Mammalia; order Primates; family Hominidae; genus Homo; species Homo sapiens. Next base: position 37,361,167 of record NC_000015.10, read on the forward strand.
AAGTAGTGACTTTAGTTTGACTTAATATTATGCCACATTGACAGATGAAAACTCCTTCTAAAAATGTCATTTGAGTGCTCGACTAATTTGCATTTAGCTCGAAAGCTTTTAGTGCTTTGCACATTCACATTATAAACATTTGGGTGAACATTAATACCCCAGCTAAACAAAAATGCTATTCACTCCAACCATTTCTTCCACTACATAAAAACTATAAATGATTCTCCTACCAAAAAAAAAAAAAGAATGCAACCCGAAAATCAATTATAGTAACTATTTAGAAATGTAAAGGAAAGGCAGTAAAAAAGTGACAAAAAAATCTTTAATTGTAGGGAAAATGTGCATCTTTTTTTCCCCCAACATGTGAATAAAATGCATTTCCTTTAACAATCACAGTTACAATAGATCCATGCATCTCACAGGAAAAAATTGACAATTTGATTATGACTTGTACTTTTTGCCGGGGCCATGAAAGTGGTTTATGTTTGAAATGTATCAGCTGGAAAGTACTTATTACTCATAAACGCTCTGCTATTTCACTTTCTGCAAAGTGAGCTGTTAACAGATACAATTTGAGCAGAATAGCCAGAGGAGGCCTTTTGATATGCAGAAGAGCTGACCCGCGTGCTGAGCCTTTAATTGGGTTTTTAATTTTCCAGGCCATCTGACAATATCAAACATGATCCCAGTGCTTGAAATGTTGATTGGAGGCTAAGAAGGATGTACTACAACATGGCATTATGGAGAGAAAGAGGAAAGAATGCAGGTAGAGAGGAAGACACTGAGAGGCAAATCATCTGCCTGGTGATTTTTGCTGGTTTTAGAGAATATTTCCAAACAGTTTAGCATTTCATTTTAAATGATGAACATCTGATTATTTTGTAGTTATAGTGAAGATGTTTGAAAATATTTCTAAATTATACACCTTAAGCTACTTAGCTAAACGGATCTGCTCAAGTGAGAACTGGAAAAAAAGCATCCCGCAATTTAACATGTTTTCTTAGGCAAACCTACAAAAGTAAGAAAGTAAGGTTGTTGAGAAAATGTTTGATTAATTTGCAGTTATTTAATGTTTTCTTTGAAAAGCTCCTGAATCACAATTCTTGTTTTCCAATTATGAGTTTCTCTTTTTGATAAAAATGCATACGTTAAAATGGTCATTTTATTCAATGTCAAGTAGGTGCTCATTTATAGCTATCAAAACGCTTGAAAAAGAGAAGCATATGATTTATTTTGGCTTTGGACAGATTATTCAGTAAACACTTTTTTTATTTGCTCATTTGTAAGGCTAAAGCAAAGAATAAAATCTAATTTATTATTTTATTAGAAGTGGGTATCAGAGTGATGCAGGACTGTGGATTTAAGAAATCTGTAAATCTCTTTAATAAAGGCCTGGGGAATTATTAGCAAGGACAAATGTAAAATGCTTGACAGTTACATTTCTAAAAGAAAAACACAATAATCTCATTAAAGAAATTACTGACAGCGGCTCACAGATGTTAATGGTTGAAGAAACAAAGGACACAATATCAGAAAGCAGATTATCTTCTTCCCCTTTTAGAATTTTACTATCGATCTAACTTACTGTGCACATCGAAATAACAAATTTCAGTTTTTCACTCAAGAATTCTCTTTCTCAGTAACAATAGGTAATTTAGAATAAAAAATATTTTTATACAATGGCCACTAGAATTTAAGCAGAAAGAATTGTTAAAGTCATTAAAGGAAGAGGTTTGTATAAAAATGATACTGAACTATGCAACATAACAACCATAAGAAAGACTGCCCTGAAAGCAAATAATATTTACATTATGGGATAATACAGATATAGATATAATTATACATGCATTTATATATATATATATATATATATATATATATATATATATATATATATGTCTTGAAGGCTATTTAGAAAATCATTTAGATATATGTGGTAAATTTATAGCCTCAAGAACTAGAATTTTATTTTTTCTTTTTTATGCTCACTTCCTCTTATTAACAAGGAATGAGTGAATTATTCACTTAAATGAAGGTCAAAATCAGCCCAATAAACAAGGAAAATGTTGTGTTTTAACGGAAAAAAATAGCAGCTGTGAAATATTACCTATATTATCTCTGAAACAATCTTACTAACAGAGTAGGTGATTGGGTTCTATTTAGGTCTATCTAGTGCTTTCTGAGATATTTTGTGCAATACACCAAATTATGCTCTGTAACCTGCTGTATTACATTATGCTGAATACTACTCATGTGGATCAAAATTAAGAAAGACGGTGTGTACACTTAATTCTTTAATCTTTCACCTGAGCCTCTTAAATGTTTCAGAGTGCTGAAAGCTGCACACTTCTCTAAGATGTAGTAAATATTCAATTATGTCCATTTTGTACTTGAGAAAATGAAGGCACTTAGAGACTACTGATCGGAATAATGTTTTCAAATGTGTTAATACAGCTAAGGAATCTTAAATCCTGGGCAGAGAGTCACTGGGCATACCACCTGACAAAGACCTCAACAGTAAGTATGTGAATCCCAGCACACTGTGGGAATTTAGACAAGCCACTGATTGACATTCTTTCTGAATTTTGCTACATCTAAATTCAAGATCAAATTGTTTGAATTTTAGGCACAACTTCTTTGATGGGGGAGAATATGGAGAAACTTTGGAATACCTTTTCAAGTATAGAAAGTGATATCTTATGCCTTAATGTTGTATTGACTTAAAACTTAATGTGCAGATAAAAATTCCACTCCACATCATAAGTTGAGAGGTATCTAAGAGAGTTGTCAAACTATACAGTTAATTTTGCCTAGAATCCCTACTTTGTCAAAGTAAAATTTTACTTGAAAGTCTTTATGATTTATAAGTTAATTTTTTTGTGTAATTTGGAAAAATAACAGGATTTAAATTTTTCATATTTTTACCTCCATTCTAAAAAGAACTGATTATAGTCTTTAATTATTTAATCTTTGGGTTGTTGGTACAATAAAAGAGAGGTAAAGTACCACCAACCCAGAAAAAAAAAAAAAAAAAAAAAGGGTAACTCTATCCTGGGCACGTGAAGCAGTCTAAATAGCTTATATATTATGTTTAGGAAAAAGTTTTCTTAGAAACATTTTTATATAGGTCTCGTTCCTAATCTTAAATATTTTAACGTACAATAGTTTCTTGCAAACAACGAGAATGGATTTATATGGCCGTTCCTGATACGTTGAACTGATTTAAGGGTTTGTAAATTTATTTTCTGGGGACCTGAGCCAAAAGAACTCTTACAGGGTCTAACAAGAATCATTCTGTAGCAGAAACTACTCCACAGACTAAACTTAAGTAAATGTAGCTATTCTCACCCCTGGCTACCTGCAGATGAGAATATAGAGATGACTTACATTCTCCCCAGAACCTTTCTGGTTGGATTAGAAAGGGGCAAAAGATCCCAGAAGACATGAACAACAGTTTGTTTTTCCACACTGCCCAGAAAAGAAGAGGTTACATTATGGAGCACCAACTATATGCTTTTATGTATGTTGCCTCCTGTGATTTTTTTTTTAAGTAGACTTTAGTTTTTGGTTTTAGATTCATAGAAAAATTAAGAAAATAGAATGGAAAGTTTCCATATACCCTGAATCCAGTTACTCTGATTGTTAACATCTTACATTAATATGGTACCTTTGTTACAATTATTAAACCAACATCAACATACTGTTATTAACTAAAGTCTCTACTTTATTCAGTTTCTACCCAATGCCCATTTTCTATTCCATTCCAGGATCTTATCCAGGATACCACATTACATTTAGTTGTCATTTTTCCTTTGGCGTCTCTTGGCTATGACAGTATCTCAATCTTTCCTTGTTGATGATCGTGACAATTTTGAGATGTACTGGTCAGGTATTTTGTAGAATGTCCCCCTCCTGGAATTTTTCTCATGTTTTTCTCATATTAGACTTGGGTGCCTCATTTGATTTCAGTCACAATCCTATTGGGTTGATATCTTGCAAATGAAGAAACTGAAGTGAAGAGAATTGAAGTAAATTAACCATGGCTACACAGCTAGTGAGAAATCTGTGATGCCAAAGCTTGCGTGTGCTTAGTTACACTGCACTGGCTTTATAGCTATTATACTCTTATGTTTAAATATGCCCTATATTTGTTTATTTCATTTATTTCTATGGGACTTACTTTGTTTTCCCATATGAGAGGTGTCTACAATTGCTTATTTTGCCAAAGGAAAAAAATAAACAAACAGATAAATAAAATCTCATGGGAATACAAATTCAGCATGAGGTTTAAATAAAGAAAAACAGTCAGGTTCACATTTTTTTCTTGGAAGTTAACATAGTTCACAGCCTTCGGCAGACTCCATTGCAGTGTTTTTTCAGGATCAAATTAAAATAGTGTAACTATCTATTTCCCTTTCTTCTGCATCTGATTCCAGGGTAGACAAAACCCCAGGGCCAAACTTTATAGATCAAGTGGTATTTCAGAAGCCAAGCTGCTCCCTTAGGCATCATGGTTTACTTAGAGTACTTAGATGGCCAAAAGGTCAGCTTCTGGGAGGTTAAAACAAACCAACCTAGATGTGTGGTGGTGGGAAAATTTGCTTCATATTGGATACTACTTTTGCCACCTCTCCTGTTCCTGCCTTCCAATGTCCAGTTACCATAACTATTGATCAGACAATGAGTTATGAATGGAGATTAAAAAAAAAAAAACAAAACTCATCCTCCAAGAGACCTTTTGTAGGTCATTGCTTTTGTGTAGAAACAGTGTTGGGGACATGATCTACCTGTGGAAACACAATTGGTAGCTACACATGACAACAGAGCTACTTGAAGGGACTTAGCTTAGGAGCTTTTAAAATTCACAGAGACCTAGGTTCCACTCTAAGCCAATTCAATCAGTCTGCAGGACTGTGGCCTTAACCTAAGTATTTCTGTACTGAGAACCACTGACCTATATCCATCCAAAAAGATTCCAAATAATCTTTTATCAAGAGGCATTTAACTAATTGAGGACATGCCAGTTTCTAGGTATACGGGAATGAATAATACAAATATGCCTGCTGTCCAGAAGAGAATAGTCTAGTAGGAGTGGGTAATAGAGCAGTAATCAAACCACAGTCTAATGGTGGAATAATGAAGGCAGCTACAATATGCTAAGGGAATATTCTTTAGTAAGTATTCTGTAAAACATCAGGGAAGCAAATATAGCTAGTTGAACCAATGGTATCATTTTTCTGTAAAATGTGAGGAAAGTTACATGACTCCTCTGAGCTTGTTTTTTTTTTTTAAAGACTAATCTACATTATATCTAAGGTTCATTAAACATGTATTTGTAGGAAAATGTTACTGGGTGCTAACTGTTTAACAATGACTTTTGGAGTACTATCAGACACATAGTTAGTTTTCAAGTTGAGCAAAGTTTGGTACCCATGTAGTTAACTGACGAACATTCCAGATAAGCAAAACATTCATACATACAGAAACAAACAAATTGGTCATTTTTCCCAATAACTATTGCTGTGAATTAAAACAACATTTTGCTCACGAATCTGCAATTTGGACAAGGATTGGTATAACAGTTTGTCTCCGCTCTACTCATTACCGGCTAGGAACTGGGGACTGGAAGCTGAGACTATCTCAAGTCTATTCATTCATGTTGATGTAGGTACTAAAACAGGTGGGAGGATAGAGCAGCCTAGGACTTCTTGGGCATCTCCCTCTGTGTCTAAGTAGCTGCTCCAGAATGGAGGCCCAGAGTTCAAGGTAGCTACCTGTCCCAAGAAAGCCGGGGATAGATATGTCACCTTTTCTTACCCAGACTTGGAAGTCATGCAATGTTATTTCCACTGACAAACTCCCACGCTGGCATCTGGGTTCCTGATTGGCTGATGGAGCTCCTGATTTGACAAAGGGGCTTGGCTCCTTTGAGTGACCTAGAGCACAAGGAGTGTATTAGTCCATTTTCATACTGCTATGAAGAAATACCAGAGACTGGGTAATTTATAAAGAAAAAGAGGTTTAATGGACTCACAGTTCCACATGACTGGGGAGGCCTCACAATCATGGTGGAAGGTGCAGGAGGAGTGAAGACACATTTTATGTGGTGGCAGGCAAGATAGTGTGTGCAGGGCAACTGCCCTTTATAAAACCATCAGATCTCATGAGACTTACTCACTATCACGAGAACAGCACGGGAAAACTCGCCCCCATGATTCAATTACCTCCCACTGGGTCCCTCCCACAACACGTGGGAATTACCGGAGTTGCAATTCAAGATGAGATTTGGGTGGGGACACAGCCAAACCATATCATGGGGGAACTTGTCCATTAGTTTGGAATTGTGTTCTTCATAAAGACTGAGGCAAGCAAGTTCTGTGAAATAACATCTTTGTTTCTTGGTGTGTGGTGTGTGTATGTATGTGTGTATATATATAATATATATACACACACACATATATATATTTTGAGAATAAAACTTTATTTAAAAAAGGAGTTAAAAAAGAGTCACTAAAGCCAACCTCCATTAAAGGGAAGAGAAACTATAATTCACCTTATTGTGGGAGGAGTCAAAATATTGGCATACCATAATTGCCGCTAAACAGCAGAACTTTCTATATGATAACATTAGCTTGAATACGGGGTTTCTTTTGACCCTTTAGCTTTATATAATCAATGCTTCTAGTAGGTGCAGAAGTCAGCCAATACATAAATAATATTAAGGCCTATTCAAAAGAAATAATAGCTGCTTCCTTCTGATGGTAATTTCTGAAAAAGTTACAAGCCAGTGAAGTAAAACTAATAACAATATTTACACAATATCTATATGCATTACCATGTGGCCACTAGCAAACTTCACATTTTTTTTTTATCTCATTCAATCCTTCTAGCAAGTCTATAAGGTAGGTACTGGTCTTGTATTATCCCCATGTTGGAGGCTCAAAAAGGTGAAGAAATTTTCACAAGGTCAAAAAGCTAATAAAAGGCAGACTAGAGATTTTCACCAATTGGTTCTCACTCCAGAGACCAATGTCATAATAGCCATAGTAACTTATAAAGTTCATAGTTGCCCGCATATTCTGGATGATAAACTTGTCCACATTATTTATAAGACTTATTCCTTCCAAGGAAATTTGAAGTTGTGCTAACTCTTATGCTCCATTCTCAAATTTTATTCATGTTTTTTGTTGTTGTTGTTTTTTTTTTTGAGACGGAGTCTTGCTCTGTCGCCCAGGCTGGAGTGCAGTGGTGCGATCTCGGCTCACTGCAAGCTCCTCCTCCTGGGTTCACGCCATTCTCCTGCCTCAGCCTCCCGAGTAGCTGGGACTACAGGCGCCCGCCACCGCCCCCAACTAATTTTTTTTGTATTTTTAGTAGAGACGGGGTTTCACGTGTTAGCCAGGATGGTCTCGATCTCCTGACCTCGTGATCCGCCCGCCTCGGCCTCCCAAAGTGCTGGGATTACAGGCGTGAGCCACCACGCCCAGCCTTGTTCGTGTATTTTTTAATGTGACCCAATTTATACTCACATTTGACTTTCCAGATTAAACATTATTAAAATATCACTAGAGATCTCTCTATAAGAACCAACAAATATAGGTAATCACGGATTCTGTGTCTTCTGAGTGTAGGAAACCAAAGAACCTTGTCGTCTGCTGTGCAGGATTCATATTTGTACCCTGAGTGGACACTGAAAAATCTGTAAAGAATATATGAAACTCGGTTTGAAATGAGTATGTTCCCCTTTAAGTATATTCTTTTGTCTACTCTGCATGGTGCTTTGTCAAAAATGTCTGAATCATTTAACATCTCATTTTTGCATATCCCTATTTTGTTTGATGAAAGTAGATGTGATATAAGCAATGAGGAAAGAAAAACTTTCCGAGAAATGCACTCCCCTATACTCCCCTGCTCCCAACATATGATTAATCATGTTAGCAATCGAATGTCTTTCCACTCAGGACTGCTGCAGTCTCCATCCAGGGGAAGGAATTGGGTGTTTCCAGAGACTCCCATTGTGAGGCAGAGGCAGCGGCAGTGCTGTGTGCTCAACTGCCCAATTAGGTCATGGGACAGCCTAGGGAATGAAGAAATAAGGGTGTCAGGTGACCTGGAGATCGGGTAATCAGTCTAAGGCAAGGGGGATGGGAGATGGTTGAGTAAAGGGGGCAAAAAGATGGGGTGGAGGGAGAAGAAGAGTTTTACAAATAAAAACTACTTGAATAATGTAACACATAAGAACCCAGGTCTTCTTCCTATCTCTCTATACACAGCTGGATGACTTTTAGGTAAAAAAACAATTAATTCAGAAATATATCATGACCCAAATTGGGTTCTTGCTATTTCATTTTAAAGACTGGAAATCCAATGGGTTAGATATCTTTTTTGCCTACTACAATTTCCCTGTATCCTAGAATCAAATAATTAATGATTATTAGTGATGAATATGCTCAATAATTCATTTAGTAAGTGATATGGAGTCCTTAAAGCTATATGGAGTCCTTAAAGTATATGATTCTGGGGACATGAAAATGATTACAATTTAGCTTTTGGCTTTGGGGAGAGACAGACAAATATATAAACGTTAGCACAATGTGATGAATGCTGTAATAGATGCACAAACAATATTAGGCAAGACAGATGCACACCGACGCTATTGGAGAAGGCTGTTCAGAGGTGGACTGGATTGCAGAGGATAGAGCAGGTGTCTTCTGCAAGAAAAAAAATTCCAAGATGGAGGGATCAATGTGCGGAAGGGTGCAGAGAATGTACGTGGTGCATTTAATACTGTAGTTCAGGGTTTCTGGAACTAAAAGTGTGTGGCATGGGAGATAGGCTGGTACAAGTGTCCAGGCTAAGAAATTTGCATTGTGTGTTTTGGAGTGTCAGTCATAATATTCCCTAGTTCTCATTGTTTATAATAACTCATTAGACACAGCATAAATCTAAAATTTATCTTTACAATGTCTTAGTTTTCTCATCTGCAAAATGGGGATGATCATTTTAATTTTTAAATTTTCAGTCCTACTGCCAATGCCTAATTCAAAATTTCATTACTGCCTACCTATTCTATTGTAATAATCTCCAGACTTCCTCCCCGGACTTCAAGCTTTTCCTTTATTTAAAGAATTCTCATGTCATTGCCAGATTAAAAACGAAACAGAACAAATAATTTAAAAAATACATTATCATCTATCTTCAGTACCTCTCCATTTCCCAAAGAATAAAGTCCAAACTTTCTAAAAACGTAGATAAGACTTTCCACTAACTATTCCAATCTTATTTTAACTTATTTTATAATGTCAATTTTTATTTTAGATTCAGGGGGTACATATGTAGGTTTCTTTACATGGGCATATTATATGATGCTGAGGTTTAGGATACAAATGATCCCATCGCCCAGGTAGTGAGCATAGTGTCCAACCTTTGCCTCCTTTCAACCCTTGCCTCCCTCCTATCCTCCCTGCTCTAGTTGTCCCCAGTGTCTGCTGTTGCCATCTTTATGTCCATGAGTATACAATGTTTAGCTCCCACTTATAAGTGACAACATGTGGTGTTTGATTTTCTGCTCCTGCATTAATTTGCTTAGGGCAATGGCCTGCAGCTGCATCCATATTGCTGCAAAGGACATGATTTTGTTCTTTTTTATGGCTGCATAGTATTACATGCTATATATGTACCACATTTTCTTTATCCAGTCCACCATTGATGGGCACCATTGATTCCATATCTTTGCTATTGTGAATATTGCTGCAATGAACATACGAGTGCATGTCTTTTTGGTAGAACAATTCGTTTCCTTTTGAATATATACCCAGTAATGGAATTGCTGAGTCAAATGGTAGTTCTGTTTTAAGTTCCTTGAGAAATCTCCACATTGCTTTCCACAGTGGCTCAACTAATTTGCACTCCCACCAACAGTGTATAAGTCTTCCCTTATCTCTGAAGCCTTGCCAACATCTGTTGTTTTTTGACTTTTAATGGTAGCCATTCTGACTGCTGTGAGATGGTATCTTATTGTGGTTTTGATTTGCCTTTCTCTGATGTTAATGATGTTGAGCTTTTCCTCATATGTTATTGGCTGCTTGTATGCCTTCTTTTGAGAAATGTCTGCTTACGTCTTTTGCCTACTTTTTAATGGGGTTTTCTTTCTTTTTGCTTTCTGAATTAAGCTCCTTATAGATTTTGGATATTAGACTTTTGTCAGACGCATAGTTTGCAAATACTTTCTCCCATTCTGTAGGTTGTCCATTTACTTTGTTGGTAATTTCTTTTGCTGTGCAGCAGTTCTTTAGTTTAATTGGGTCCCACTTGTCAATTTTTGTTTTTCCAACCTTATTTTATTTTATATTCAAATACATCCCACACTCCTGCTTTGTTGGGCTTTCTGATCTATTATATTCTCTGGCTGATATGGTCCTTCCATTTTGGATATCTCTTCTCGGTAAAATAATGGGAAAAATATGTACTTCATAGAGTAATTGCATAATTGAGAGAAAACAGGAAAAAAAAACTTTTGTAAACTCTGCAAGTATATGTTAATGTGAGTGATAATGTGGAGCTTTCAAAAGCAAAATGAGAAGTAAAACAACTACAAGCAGAGTTGGCATATGGCCCACAAGGTCATCTACCCATTGTGTGATTATGGACAATTTCCTAAATCAAACTCTAATGAGTGTATCTATAGAATTGGGGATAACATTAACAATCTCCACATCATGGCATTGTGAGGCGGTTCAATGAGATGATATATGTGAAAGCAATCTGAAAAGTATTAGTAGTCTGTGGCTATGCAAATATTGATTATTACTATTTGTTTCCTAAATCACCATGACCACTCTCTATTCTATTAGAGTTATTTATGTACATGTCTTATAACACATAGGAAATTGTAAGAAATTTTAGGATGAGATTTTAATCATGTTTATTCCCCCAGAGAATAAGTAAGTGAAGCTCCTAAGGTCAGTGTCTTTCTTATCAAAGCAACACGGCTTGTGTTTTATGGCAGAGCAGTCTGTGCTTGCAGGGCAGGGCTGTGTTCTGTAATCACAGATGCCTTCTCTGCTTGGGCGTTGTTACCTACGGGGTAGTGTGGGTGAAAGACTCACTTATCTCTTACATATATTTTAGTCTCAAACATCTGAATCATTAGAGGAAAATTCCTTTGCCGTTGCTCATCCGTATCAGTGGAGTTCTTCCTCAGATTTTTATAATCACAATTTCCCACGTTGCTATAGTTGCACCCCTCAAATTCATGCAATGTTCCCTCTCCAGTATCTAACCCAGCAATGTACCAGTTATTTCCTTTTACATTATAACCTACTGGAAAAATTCAATTTTCACATCTGTCTGGTGGACTTTGACTGATACTTTGCTCTCTATGTCGATATTACTGGGAATTCCACGCATGTAAAACTGAATAGTGCAGAATGAAAACCAAATGTTAAACTTTAGCTATGACACACGGAGCTTCTTTTTCTATTACACGATTATTTTTAGAAGCTATTTCTATCACTCAACACTTATTTTATTTTTGCATGAACTACATGAGCTCTTATTACTTACAAGGCTGTGCTTCTGAGTCATCCCTAATCGATTAATGTTATATACTGAATGGACAATTGGTTTTAGTTTTTTCTCATTAAATGTTGCCCATTTCTAAGACTTACAAATTAATGGCAAGCCTAGCATTGGAATCTAATCTAAATACCCCTTTTTAATTTGAAAAATAAGAAATATGAAAGTGTCAAGAAAAACTGTAATGTGTTTGCACAAAACTGGTGTCATTACAACTAATAGCCTTAAAAAGTCTGTTGGTGATTTATGTTGCAGAAGTTGTAACAGGTGCTGGGGGCAGTAATTTTCCTTCTCATGTCCTAACAGAAGTGAGGTACCTGGGAACAGACATTTACAAGCGGATAAACTTTTGGTGATTTTTTTTTAACAAGGCAAATCAATTGCTTTTCAACTTTTAAGTGATTGTTGCTGTTTAACATTATAGTTATTTGCAAAATACTAAAACAAGACTTGCTCCTATTTGACAATATCCACTTAAACAGGATGTACTGAATTCTAAATCTTTTGAGCATAGGCTTCAAATGTGGGCAAAATCAGAGCAGGAGTAGGACAGGGAGAAATTAACATGGGCTGAGCACTTATTATAACACATCTATTATAATACATGTGCCAAGGGATTCTCTCACATTATTTCATTTATCTCCTGAATAACCTTGTGAGGCAGATTGGATTCTTCCACTTTACAGATGAATACATTGAGACTCAGATTTCAGACTTGTCAGACTCCAAAGCCCAAGCTCTTTCTACTTCACGAAATGGATGGAGCCCATGAATTTTTCCCCACACAAGTTTGAATCAAAGAGAACTCTCATCATAAAAGAAACTTTGTGCAGTTTTGCCAATGTTTCCAGTCTTGACCACACATAATAGTGACTTGAATTTGGTGAAACCAGGATCTCTCTAATAACATTGTAATATACAGACACAGTATGTTAGGTGAAAATATTAGCCCATTGCCCTGATTTCTAAAATCATTGGATAAATAGTCATTATTCCCAAGAAAAATTGTATTCCCTTTATCACCAAATGCAGACTGACAAATTACATTCATAAAGTGGATATTAATTGGAAGCTTGTGGCCTAGGGAGTGCAAAGAGGATGGGATTAGAAATAGACGCTGGATACGGGAGGTAAGGGGTGGAGAGTGCAAGAAGGACAGACAACTACAAATAGAAAAGTTCAGGAGGAATCTTGATTGTTACTTCCACCAGCTTTTTACAGATGAAGATACTAAGGGCAGAGTTTTGCAGCTGACTCAGTTTTCACTGGACTGCAGGGTTGGGTTTGGAATTCAGACTCCCATCCTTGAGAAAGAAAGCCCACATTTGTTGGTTTGTGCCATTTTACAATGTAATGTTAGCAGAAAGTTCTCGTTGTACAGTGTCTGTGGGTTTAAGGCCTGAATAGATCTTTGGGATTTGAAGTTATTGTGACAATGACAGCCCTAGATTATTAGTCTGATCCTGTATGGAGAGTCAGATTTCTCTGGGCACTGAAAATGATGCTACTATTACTACTGCTACTAATACTACTATTACCATTTCTTGTAGGTAATATATAGTTCACTGGAATTTACAAAGTGTTTTCTTATCCATTTGACCTTTATAATAGCCCTCTGTAGAATTATACTAGAAGGTAACATCCATGAAATGACCATGAAATAATGTTTTAGTACTAATAAAATTTCAAGTTGACATCCTTGCTTCTCAATTCTTGATATCTTTTACAGCATTTAACAACTAATTCAAAGTTTTCTTATCTATAGAATGAAGATACTAATATCTTCCCTGTCTATCTTTAGAACCATTGATTAAATCAAAGGAAACACTATTGAAACACTGTTTAAAAAATGCTCAGGAAACTGCAAATTTTTATTTTGTTACTATTGTTGGGATGCACTCATTTCACAAAAGCTCCCTGAAGGAAGATATGTACATCTTGTCTGTCTAGAGAGGGAGCAAAATATAGTGATTAGAACAGAGACTCTGGAGATAGGCAGCATCAGTATGATTACTAGCTCTGTCAGCTACTAGCTGTGTGGTGTTGGGCAAGTCACCTAGGGCAAGTCACCTAACCTCTCTGTGTTTTAGTTTCCTTGTTGGCAAATTAGAAATCATAGAATTCACATAGGATTCATGAATTCATGTAAGGATTGAATGTGTTAATATATCATAAAATACTTTGAATAGTCTTCGGCATATACTGAGTGCTGTATAAGTATTGGGTCTTTCTATCAGCTATATTGCCTTCAGTATGGTCTTGTACTTTGTAGATGATCAATATATTTTGTTGAATATATAAATACAGTAATAAATATAGAGCAGGTAGGCTAGCTGATATTCCAGAATTATAGAAAAGAGACAAAAACGGTAGAAACAATTTGCCTCACCGTTTAGTAAAATAATGATGCTCATAGTGATGACTTTGAGACATCTAGAAAAGTTAAAAATAAGCTCAGAAGCCTGTGAGCCAGATAGATAAATGCCAGATTTTCCACTATGATGTCGACATCAGTTACAAAGTACTCTTGCAAGTATGACAATAAATCAGTGATGTACATTATAATCACTCCAATATATATAGAGAAGAAGATCTAATACTCAGGGATGTTCATTGGCCTGAGGTCACTTGGTATTGTGTAGATGCGGGAATCCAGATTTTCGGAATCAGGTGCATTTCCCACCACCTTTGACTCCTTTCAAAGCTGAGCTTTTACCTGTCAGAAACAATACTGTGAAACCACATCACGAAATCATTTCCACCTTTTTTTTCAGTTTTCAGACTTCTCTTTGTCCTTCTAACCAAGAGAAAAAATGGTGGGAAGTGGGAGTGGAGAAGAGAACAAGCATTCAGTGAGCACCTCATCGGGATCAGGCACCTCCTATTGCATCTGATGTACTCTTTTCTGGAATCCTGTAGATGGGGTAAATCAGCTAGGGCTGAGTGAGTTAGCCAAGACTGCACAGCTAGCAGATGACAGAGAAGAATCTACAGCACAGTATGACTTCAAAGCCCGGTTCTTTCTGCCTCATAGGGGGACTGCTTCCTGCAGCCTATCCCTACAGCGAGAGCTACTCTGAGCTCTGTGTGAAGCAGCTTTGCACTCACAGAACAGCCCTTGAGAAACCTCCTGATATTCTGTGATGACTGATCTTTTAGCAAAGCAGGAAGCCTTTGCCGGGACGGTGCCAGACCTGACATTTTATGCCTTAGTATAGCATTTCTCAAAATGTGAAGTGTGAGCTACAGATTCTTCTTATTAAAATTTTAATAGTTGCATATTTATTTTAGTGTTTTAAAAATATGAATAGTTTTATAATCAGAGGAAAGAATAATTTTCCCCTGTAAAGAATTTGTTAAGTAAAACATGTATTGGCTGAAGAAAAACATGATGTAAATAAAATATAGGTGGTATGTGGACATGGCAAAAATCATGGAAGGAAATTATGACACCAAACCAATTATACTGAAGGATAGCTACAGTTATCAAAACACAGAAAAATCAAATTATGATATAGTTATATATGTGCATCCTTAAGACATTAAATAACTAGTTCTAGAGGAAGGTCTAATAACGATTGCAATTTTGCAGTCGTGATAAGCATAGATACCATTTTGAGATACCTGCAGCGACATGTGGTGTGATATGAAAGTCTCCGTGCTTTCTCTTGGTTCCAAAGTCTCAGGTACTGTGAATACCACTGTGCTTTACTGCCTCTCTTTATAATTGAAAGAAATAATACATCTCAGTTAGAAGCTGGTGAAATTAAGATATAATACTTCCCCTTTCAATGTTCTTTGAATTAAGAACCTCTTGTCAGGTGTCCAAATGAACTGGGTTTAAATCTCTCTGCTAGCACGTAATAGCTGTGTTACCTTAGCAAGTAATTCCGGCTCTCTAAGTCCCTGAAGAGGGATAATGACAAGGGGAATTTACAGAGTTTATGGGTATGTAGTGCCGAAATTGTGCACATAAAGTACTTGGTACTGTGTTAGAATTCACTAAATGTTGTAAGTTTGCTCCTAGTGCTCCAGTGATGGGGATGGGTGACCATTCAGCCAGCAGAGGCTGCATTCTAGGAATGCAGCCTTTTCATTTCCTTACTTTTCCCCAAAGGGCTCAGATAAAATATTTCATTGTTCTGGAGGAAACTCATGATCCCATTAAATGGGCTTGCTTTTATTTACACTTGCACTTTGTAAAAACCAAATAATTCAGTTGAGGTGTGTATGTGGAAGAGGGGATGACAATATAGGTATTAAACATACCTAGTGATTTTAGGGTATGTAAGAATGGGGAAAAATGATGTATGCAGAGACACTGATTGAAGAGTAAGCATTAGAAAGTGATGAAATTAAAAAGGGGAATAGAATGTACAAAGGTATTTTGTAAGTAGAGAAGGTATCAGTATTTTCTCTTTCTAATGTACTACTCTACTGTGCTATTGTTCTAGTTTGGATCGATTCTATGAAATAGTTTCCTATTATGGGTTAGAGAGATGCAAACTCCCTCATGATCTGCTCCACTTTAATGCTTTTAAAGTGAGTGAGTTTAATATTAAAAATGAAAAATGTGCAGGCAGATTTTATCTAATGGGAATTTGTCCACTTTGCTTCTTGGTAAAAACCCTGCATCAGGAATGAGATTTGGGAAGAGTTGAGATAAAAGAGTTTGAAAATAGTTATTGATGAGATGTGATACTTACTGTTAAGTAGAAACCATGAAAGATCATTCCCAGTTCAGCTGAATGGGAAGTGAACAGTCACATTGCTCTTGTAATGGGGCTGATATGCAAGTCTTTGGAGAGGATGATATATGTGAAGAGAAGTCCATGGAGAGGACATTATGATATCAAGACAATGACAAAACAAATTTCAATGCAAATCTATAGAGACCATATTACAATGTCAAGGCGATGGCAAAATGTAAGTCTGGAGAGACCATTTTACAATGTCAAGACAGTGGTAAAACAATGTCGCTGAAAGATTATTGAGACCACATTGCCATGTTAAATTACAATGTCAAAACATTATCATTGCAAGTCTTTAGAGATCATGTACCTCTTTTAAGATTATAGCAAAACAATGGAATTTGAAATAGCAAACAATGGAACAAAGGAACTTTATCTAAGTTCCTATTACTATCAAGAAATGATGGTAAAAATGGAAAGGCAAGTCAAAAGGTTGTTAAGGAAACATAAACAATGACAAGCACTAAGAATGTGCAGTACATGCAGTTAGGATTCGACTTCATTGTTGCTTTGAAGAGAGTAAAGGCTCTCATGTAGAGATGTAGAAATAAGGTTGGAAAGCAAGTATAGCCAAAGGCTGATGGGAAGTCAGGGGTGAAAGAGACTGAGGTACAAGAGACACATAAGCAGCTGATTTATAAAATTTGAATCACACTCCTCTTCCCTAAATAACTGATTTATTGTTTTAATTATTCACGAGTCATTCTCACGACGTGAACTTCACAAATCCTTGGTTACTGAATCCTGCATTGCCTGAGAGCTTATTTGTGATGTAACGTCCATCACCCTCTGTTTAAACTTATATTCAGCTAATAGTTATTACTAGGTGTCAATCATTGTGCTAGGTACTTAGTTTCCTCATGGGCAAATGGACTTTTCTTTTTTCCTACAAAGCTGGGAGGAGTAAGGAAGCTATGGATACAAAGGTGCTGTTAGCAAATGGGATGTGGAAAGGGGGCTTTCTAATTGCAACCCCAGTGCCCTCTTTGAGAATTTGAGCACGCTGCCTCACTAAGCTATGTTCAAGCGCCTTTTTTTTTATTATGACACTAAGTTCTAGGGTACATGTGCACAACATGCAGGTTTGTTACGTATGTATACTTGTGCCATGTTGGTATGTTGCACCCATTAACTCGTCATTTACATTAGATATATCTCCTAATGCTATCCCTCCCCCTTCCCCCCACCCCACGACAGGCCCTGGTGTGTGATGTTCCCCTTCCTGTGTCCAAGATTTCTCATTGTTCAATTCCCACCTATGAGTGAGAACATGCGGCATTTGGTTTCCTGTCCTTGCGATAGTTTGCTGAGATTGATGGTTTCCAGCTTCATCCATATCCCTACAAAGGACATGAACTCATCCTTTTTTATGGCTTCATAGTATTCCATGGTGTATATGTGCCACATTTTCTTAAACCAGTCTATCATTGTTGGACATTTGGGTTGGTTCCAAGTCTTTGCTATTGTGAATAGTGCCGCAATAAACATACGTGTGCATGTGTCTTTATAGCAGCATGATTTATAATCCTTTGGGTATATACCCAGTAATGGGATGGCTGGCTCAAATGGTATTTCTAGTTCTAGATCCCTGAGGAATCACCACACTCTCTTCCACAATGGGTGAACTAGTTTACAGTCCCATCAACAGCGTAAAAGTGTTCCTATTTCTCCACATCCTCTCCAGCACCTGTTGTTTCCTGAGTTTTTAATGATGGCCATTCTAACTGGTGTGAGATGGTATCTCATTGTGGATTTGATTTGCATTTCTCTGATGACCAGTGATGATGAGCATTTTTTCACGTGTCTTTTGGCTGCATAAATGTCTTCTTTTGAGAAGTGTCTGTTTATATCCTTCGCCCACTTTTTGATGGGGTTGTTTTTTTCTTGTAAATTTGTTTGAGTTCATTGTAGATTCTGGATATTAGCCCTTTGTCAGATGAGTAGGTTGCAAAAATTTTCTCCCATTCTGTAGGTTGCCTGTTCACTCTGATGGTAGTTTCTTTTGCTTTGCAGAAGCTCTTCAGTTTAATTAGATCCCATTTATCAATTTTGGCTTTTGTTGCCATTGTTTTTGGTGTTTTAGACATAAAGTCCTTGCCCATGCCTATGTCCTGAATGGTAATGCCTAGGTTTTCTTCTAGGGTTTTTAAGGTTTTAGGTCTAACATTTAAGTCTTTAATCCAACTTGAATTAACTTTTGTATAAGGTGTAAGGAAGGGATCTAGTTTCAGCTTTCTACATATGGCTAGTCAGTTTTCCCAGCACCATTTATTAAATAGGGAATCCTTTCCCCATTTCTTGTTTTTGTCAGGTTTGTCAAAGATCAGATGGTTGTAGATGTGTGGTATTATTTCTGAGGGCTCTGTTCTGTTCCATTGGTCTATATCACTGTTTTGGTACCAGTACCATGCTGTTTTGGTTACTGTAGCCTTGTAGTATAGTTTGAAGTCAGGTAGCGTGAGGCCTCCAGCTTTGTTCTTTTGGCTTAGGATTGACTTGGCAATGCAGGCTCTTTTTTGGTTTCATATGAACTTTAAAGTAGTTTTTTCCAATTCTGTGAAGAAAGTCATTGGTAGTTTGATGGGGATGGCATTGAATCTATAAATTACCTTGGGCAGTATGGCCATTTTCACAACATTGATTCTTCCGAATGTTCTTTCATTTGTTTGTGTCCTCTTTTATTTCATTGAGCAGTGGTTTGTAGTTCTCCTTGAAGAGGTCCTTCAAGTCCCTTTAAGTTGGATTCCTAGGTATTTTATTCTCTTTGAAGCAATTGTGAATGGGAGTTCACTCATGACTTGGCTGTTTGTCTGTTATTGGTGTATAAGAATGCTTGTGATTTTTGCACATTGATGTTGTATCCTGAGACTTTGCTTAAGTCTCAGGATACAACTTAAGGAGATTTTGGGCTGAGACAATGGGGTTTTCTAGATATACAATCATGTCGTCTCCAAACAGGGACAATTTGACTTCCTCTGTTCCTAATTGAATACCCTTTCTTTCTTTCTCTTGTCTGATTGCCCTGGCCAGAACTTCCAACACTATGTTGAATAGGAGTGGTGAGAGAGGGCATCCCTGTCTTGTGCCAGTTTTCAAAGGGAATGTTTCCAGTTTTTGCCCATTCAGTATGATATTGGCTGTGGGTTTGTCATAGATAGCTCTTATTATTTTGAGATACGTCCCATCAATACCTAATTTATTAAGAGTTTTTAGCATGAAGGGCTGTTGAATTTTGTCAAAGGCCTTTTCTGCATCTATTGAGATAATCATGTGGTTTTTGTCTTTCGTTCCGTTTATGTGATGGATTATGTTTATTCATTTGTGTATGTTGAACCAGCCTTGCATCCCAGGGATGAAGCCAACTTGATCTTAGTCGATAAGGTTTTTGATGTGCTGCTGGATTCGGTTTGCCAGTATTTTATTGAGGATCTTCACATTGACGTTCATCAGGGATATTGGTCTAAAATTCTCTTTTTTGGTTGTGTCTCTGCCAGTCTTTGGTATCAGGATGATGCTGGCCTCATAAAATGAGTTAGGGAGGATTCCTTCTTTTACTGTTGATTGGAATAGTTTCAGAAGGAATGGTACCAGCTCCTGTTTGTACCGCTCGTAGAATTCGGCTGTGAATCCATCTGATCCTGGACATTTTTTGGGTGGTATCCTATTAATTAATTATTACTTCAATTTCAGAGCCTGTTATTGGTCTATTCAGAGATTCAACTTCTTCCTGCTTTACCCTTGGGAGGGTGTATGTATCCAGGAATTAATCCATTTCTTCTAGATTTTCTAGTTTATTTGTGTGGAGGCGTTTATAGTGTTTTCTGATGGTAGTTTGTATTTCTGTGGGATCGGTAGTGATATCCCCTTTATCATTTTTTGCGTCTACTTGATTCTTCTCTCTTTTCTTCTTTATTAGTCTTGCTAGCAGTCTATCAATTTTGTTGATCTTTTCAAAAAACCAGCTCCTGGATTCATTGATTTTTTGAAGGGTTTTTTGTGTCTCTATCTTCTTCAGTTCTGCTCTGATTTTAGTTATTGCTTGCCTTCTGCTAGCTTTTGAATGTGTTTGCTCTTGTTTCTCTAGTTCTTTTAATTGTGATGTTAGGGTGTCAATTTTAGATACTTCCTGCTTTCTCTTGTGGGTGTTTAAAAGACACAGACTGGCAAACTGGACAAAGAGTCAAGACCCATCAGTGTGCTGTATTCAGGAGACACATCTCATGTGCAGAGACACACATAGGCTCAAAATAAAGGGATGGAGGAAGATCTACCAAGCAAATGGAAAACAAAAAAAGGCAGGAGTTGCAATCCTCGTCTCTGATAAAACAGACTTTAAACCAACAAAGATCAAAAGGGACAAAGAAGGCCATTACCTAATGGTAAAGGGATCAATTCAACAAGAGCTAACTATCCTAAATATATATGCACCCAATACAGGAGCACCCAGATTCATAAAGCAAGTCCTTAGAGACTTACAAAGAGACTTAGACTCCCACACAATAATGGGAGACTTTAACACCCCACTGTCAGCATTCAACAGATCGAGACAGAAAGTTAACAAGGATATCCAGAAATTGAACTCAGCTCTGCACCAAGCAGACCTAATAGATATCGACAGAACTCTCCACCCAAATCAACAAGAATATACATTCTTCTCAGCACCACATCGCACTTATTCCAAAATTGACCACATAGTTGGAAGTAAAGCACTCCTCAGCAAATGTAAAAGATCAGAAATTATAGCAAAGTGTCTCTCAGACCACAGTGCAATCAAACTAGAACTCAGGATTAAGAAACTCACTCAAAACTGCTCAACTACATGGAAACTGAAAACCTGCTCCTGAGTGACTACTGGGTACATAACAAAATGAAGGCAGAAATAAAGATGTTCTTTGAAACCAATGGGAACAAACAGACAACATACCAGAATCTCTGGGACACATTTGAAGCTTTGTTGTATATGAAACTGTGAGAATACATGTGATCACTATCACTCATCTTCTAGGAAACTAGATTGGAAATCCAAGGCTGTGCACCTGGAACAGTATCGTGGCTTCCCTGAGATTATTCATCTGTTTAATGAAAGAAGTCGCTGTGATCTCACAGGCCCTCCCTTAATTCTAAGTTTGGTTTCCAGAATTAACTAAAATGTTTATGGTATATATGAACAATTAACTGTGAAAGCCATTGTCATAACCCATTCTACCACACATCCAAAATAGGTACCATTGTTCTTTATAGTATTTCATCTATGTTAAGATTTTTAGGAATGAATTTTTTTATAGACTTTTAAGTTAAAGTAATAGCTATGAATATATTTATCATATATATGAATATATATTCAGACCCATAAGTGTATATATGTATAAATTATACATACATATATATCCAATGTGTGTGTATATATGTATATATATGTGTGTTTTATTATTTTTGCTCTCCTTTAGAAAAAATCTGATAGTTCTATCATTATGAATTCTAGGGGTCCACAATCTTCCTGAAAAATCAGTTTGCTTCTGCTTTCTCATGTTGGCTTTTTGTTTCTATTTGTATGTATGTGTGCATGTGTACATTATGGATTATAAACTTAAGATTATCTTCAGCAAAGTAGACCTATGGTCTTTTGCTTGTGGGGTAGAAGGCCCATTTCTCCTGAGACACTTTTTGCTTTTGTCAGTTATTAATGCCAATGATTTTATCCATGGCCTTTCTAGAGCCTCGCAGCTTGTAGGATCTCAGCTCTGATTCCATATACTATGTAGGCTCAAGTCATCATCCATTGTTCCTACATGAAGGTTAAAACCCAAACCACTGGCTTGTTGTGCCTGGAGTGATTCTCTCTTGGTTATCCTCCTGTCATTTTCATCTTTTTTTCTCCCCTCCCAAACTCCTTCATAAGATTATTCTTCCTTAGTCTGTTCTATAATTATTGGCTTTCCCCCAAAGTTTACAATGTTCAATATTTACCTGATTATATAGCACTCTGTTCACCCCAATCCCTCAGAAGTATACCATCATTTCCTATTAGGGTGAACTCTTTACCCAACTCCATGCTTCCATACCTTTACTCTGTTCTTCATACTAAAGCTTCAACTTAACTGAGATAGAAACTTGGCAACACTTGTTTTAAAATTCTTTGATGGTTCCTCCTTGTTCACAACACACAAACACACACACACACACACACACACACACACACACACAGACATTTAGACCCCTTTTCATAGCATGTTAACCCCTTAGGATCAGTCTCCTGCAGACCCCTTTCAGTCTCATCTAACTCTCCCATGCCTAGTTCTAGCTTTCTAGCCATTTTGAATTGTTGGTTGGTCTTGCTCTTTTTTAGCTTGCTTTGCTTCTGTATTCACTGCTCCTTCTGTTTAGTGTTTAGTTAACCAATATGCTGTATATATTATTACAAGATTTTAGATGGTTACATTTACCTTGTTTCTATTCTTTTTCTTCTTGTACTAATAGATATGATGCATTCAAAACTTAAAAAAAAATCTATGATACATTAGTGTAAAAGAAATTAGACTTCCTAGCTCACAGAAGCATGCGCCCTAGAAAGTTATATGGTTGCTATAAAACATAGCTCTGACCTCTCCTATGCACGTTATTTGTCCTTTTCTCCAATAATCTTTCCTAGCATATCAGTTGTTATATTATTTTAGAGGTAAGGCCCATGATTGAAAGGATTACACTGGGATTATACTATCAGTGACACGAGTTCCTCAATAATCATTGATTTACCAGTGCATTCTAGAGAATTTAACATACCTCTACAACAAGCACATGCATTTGGAAATATGCTATTTCAAAATAATAAAAATGACAACTCTTAGGCTGCTGACAATACTTCCACTTTCAGGAATAAAGGCATTATTTTGACCTTCTTCAAGGCAGTAAGTACCCCAATTTTGTATCCCAGTTTTATTGGCTTTCCTTGTATCCCAGTTTTATTGTATCCCAGTTTTATTGGTTCTCCTTTCCTCAGTTTACTCATCTGCAAAATGGGGATAATAAAGGTACCTATCTCTTGCATTATTTGGTGATTAAATGAATTAATGCCTAAAAGTACTTAGAACAATGCCTGGTAACTGAGTAAAAATTCAGTAAAGATGAACTTATTATTGTTATTTTCCTCATCTTTTTCTCATTTTATCAGAGAAGATTTTAAAGAAAAAATCAATATTTTAAGAGATAATATACATGTTATCTTTTGGATCTCTCTTACATTCATGGTTAACTTGGAAAATAGGGTCTCCTATTAGTCATGTATTCTTTGGTATAATTTAAATACATTGTTTATTTTTTCTGATTTGTGATAATTATGAAATGAATATTGTTCCTTAGTAAAGCCATTCAGTCATCAGCAACCATGGCAGGAAGATCTGGAAAGTAGAAGGCCTCTTAGAGAAATCAAGAAAATGTTTCTGCCATTATTGTGTAAGGTCACTATGGTGACCACATCCCATGTTGTTTTCTACCCACCCTTAACTGCTGAGAAAATTTGATATTATTAGTTACTTCCCATAACTTTATATTTCTTACACAGTGATAAAAGATTTAAGAAAAAACATATGATATTCTGTTATTTTTCTCCCTTCTCCAAGGCTATGTATACTTTTCTATAACATCTTGGGAATATATGAAATACTAAGTAACATAAATTTAATGAATATTATTCATTAAATAAATGATTGATCTTATCTCCAATATCAACTGAATATCCTGAAACCTCAAAACTCCTTGGACAGAAACAATGGTTCAAGAAGTAAAAACTCTAATTTGCTTTTTCTTTTTTCTTTTCTTTTATTATTATTATTATACTTTAAGTTTTAGGGTACATGTGCACAATGTGCAGGTTAGTTACATATGTATACATGTGCCATGCTGTTGTGCTGCACCCATCACCTCGTCATTTAGCATTAGGTATATCTCCTAATGCTATCCCTCCCCCCTCCCCCCACCCCACAACAGTACCCAGAGTGTGATGTTCCCCTTCCTGTGTCCATGTGCTCTCATTGCTCAATTCCCACCTATGAGTGAGAACATGCGGTGTTTGGTTTTTTGTCCTTGTGATAGTTTACTGAGAATGATGATTTCCAATTTCATCCATGTCCCTATAAAGGACATGAACTCATCATTTTTTATGGCTGCATAGTATTCCATGGTGTATATGTGCCACATTTTCTTAAACCAGTCTATCATTGTTGGACATTTGGGTTGGTTCCAAGTCTTTGCTATTGTGAATAGTGCAGCAATAAACATATGTGTGCATGTATCTTTATAGCAGCATGATTTATAGTCCTTTGGGTATATACCCAGTAATGGGATGGCTGGGTCAAATGGTATTTCTAGTTCTAGATCCCTGAGGAATCGCCACACTGACTTCCACAATGGTTGAACTAGTTTACAGTCCCACCAACAGTGTAAAATGTTCCTGTTTCTCCACACCCTCTCCAGCACCTGTTGTTTCCTGACTTTTTAATGATGGCCATTCTAACTGGTGTGAGATGGTATCTCATTGTGGTTTTGATTTGCATTTCTCTGATGGCCAGTGATGGTGAGCATTTTTTCATGTGTTTTTTGGCTGCATAAATGTCTTCTTTTGAGAAGTGTCTGTTCATGTCCTTCACCCATTTTTTGATGGGGTTGTTTGTTTTTTTCTTGTAAATTTGTTTGAGTTCATTGTAGATTCTGGATATTAGCCCTTTGTCAGATGAGTAGGTTGTGAAAATTTTCTACCATTTTGTGGGTTGCCTGTTCACTCTGATGGTAGTTTCTTTTGCTGTGCAGAAGCTCTTTAGTTTAATTAGATCCCATTTGTCAATTTTGGCTTTTGTTGCCATTGCTTTTGCTGTTTTAGACATGAAGTCCTTGCTCATGCCTATGTCCTGAATGGTAATGCCTAGGTTTTCGTCTAGGGTTTTTATGGTTTTAGGTGTAACGTTTAAGTCTTTAATCCATCTTGAATTAATTTTTGTATAAGGTGTAAGGAAGGGATCCAATTTCAGCTTTCTACATATGGCTAGCTACATATTTCCCAGCACCATTTATTAAATAGGGAATCCATTCCCCATTGCTTGTTTTTCTCAGGTTTGTCAAAGATCAGATAGCTGTAGGTATGTGGCGTTATTTCTGAAGGCTCTGTTCTGTTCCATTGATCTATATCTCTGTTTTGGTACCAGTACCATGCTGTTTTGGTTACTGTAGACTTGTAGTATAGTTTGAAGTCAGGTAGCGTGATGCCTCCAGCTTTGTTCTTTTGGCTTAGGATTGACTTGGCGATGCAGGCTCTTTTTTGGTTCCATATGAACTTTAAAGTAGTTTTTTCCAATTCTGTGAAGAAAGTCATTGGTAGCTTGATGGGGATGGCATTGAATCTGTAAATTACCTTTGGCAGTATGGCCATTTTCACAATATTGATTCTTCCTACCCATGAGCATGGAATGTTCTTCCATTTCTTTGTATCCCCTTTTATTTCATTGAGCAGTGGTTTGTAGTTCTCCTTGAAGAGGTCCTTCACATCCCTGGTAAGTTGGATTCCTACGTATTTTATTCTCTTTGAAGCAATTGTGAATGGGAGTTCACTCATGATTTGGCTCTCTGTTTGTCTGTTATTGGTGTATAAGAATGCTTGTGATTTTTGTACATTGATTTTGTATCCTGAGACTTTGCTGAAGTTGCTTATCAGCTTAAGGAGATTTTGGGCTGAGACAATGGTGTTTTCTAGATATACAGTCATGTCATCTGCAAACAGGGACAATTTGACTTCCTCTTTTCCTAATTGAATACCCTTTATTTCCTTCTCCTGCCTAATTGCCCTGGCCAGAACTTCCATCATTATGTTGAATAGGAGTGGTGAGAGAGGGCATCCCTGTCCTGTGCCAGTTTTCAAAGGGAATGCTTCCAGTTTTTGTCCATTCAGTATGATATTGGCTGTGGGTTTGTCATAGATAGCTCTTATTATTTTGAGATACGTCCCATCAATACCTAATTTATTGAGAGTTTTTATTTGCTTTTTTTTTCTAAATTTGTTTGCAAGTTTAGAATTCCTTGTCTACATGTTATAACAACTGGAGCATGAAACTGCGGATTTTTCCCTTGAAGAAGCCCAGTACTTTGCTTGAAAAGCAATCTACTTCCTTAAAGTATCTTCTTACTTCCTACTGTTGATTATAGTAGAAATCAAGAGATAAATTAATCCAAGTAAAGATTTAGTCAAGACACTAAGTTATTCTTAAATAACCAAACAGTAAAATTAAAAAGTGATGGAATGATTTTCTACAGTTGACTTAAACAGTAGCACAGACATTTTTAGTTATGTCTTTCAGAAGTAAAGTTCATTTTCCTCTGCCACCCTCATGTTCTCTATTTCAAGGATCTAATTCTAGGCACTATTTTATTTTTATATTTTTTCCTACTCATTTGACATCTTTGGTATTTTGGTTTGTTTTTTCTTCAACTTTTTGTTTTAAAATAATTTTAAATTTACAGAAAAGTCACAAAAGAGTACAGAATGTTCTTATATAACTTTTCATCCAGCATCCACTAATCATCCTAGTTAATGGTAGTACCAGTATCAAAAGAAGGAACTTCAGATGGGTACAATTTTATTAATTAAACTAGAGACCTAAATTGAATTTTACTAATTGAGCCACTAATGTTCTTTTCCAAATTCAGAATCCAATCGAGAATTTCACACTGCGTTTAGTCATCTTGTCTCCCTAGTTCTCTCTAGTCTTAGTCTTTCCTTGAAAATTATATTATAAAATGTCTCTCAAGTTGGGTTTGTCTGCTGTTATCTCATAATTAAATTCAGGTTATACACTTTTCGGCGAAAAAAAAAAAATCTCACCCCAAATGCCATCCTTATCAATGTATTATATCAGGGGTTCTTGATGTTGATATGTCTCGTTAGTGATGATGCTAACCTTAAAAAGTTTTTTATTTCAATAGCTTTTGAGGTACAAGTGGGTTTTGGTTACATGGATGAATTGTATAGTGCTAAAGTCTGAGATGTTACTGCACACATTGCACCCATTGTACTGGTCCATTTTCACACTACTATAAATAACTACCCAAGACTGAGTAATTCATGAAGAAAAGAGGCTTAATTGACTGACAGTTCTGCAGACTTAACAGGAAGCATGACTGGGGGCCTCAGTAAACTTACAATCGTGGCAGAAAGTGAAGGGGAAGCAAGGACCTTCTTCACATGGTGGCAGCAGAGAAAGAGAGAGTGAGGGGGGAAGTGCCACACAATTTTAAACCATCAGATCTCGTGAGAAATCACTCACTATTATGAGAACAGCCTGGGAGGATATTCGCCCCTATGATCCAATCACCTCCCACCAGGTCCCTCCCCAACATTGGGAATTAAAATTTAACATGAGATTTGGGTGGGGACACAGAGCTAAAATGTATCATTCCACCCCTGGTTCCTCCCAAATCTCAATTCCCACTCACATTTCAAAACACAACCATGCTTTCCCAATAGCCCTTCAAAGTCTTAACTAATTCCAGAATTAACCCAAGAGTCCAAGCCCATAGTCTCATCTGAGACAAAGCAAGTCTCTTTCACCTATGAGTCTGTAAAATAAAAAACAAGAGTATTATTTCCAAGATACAATGAGGGTAAAGGCACCAGGTAAGTGATCCTGTTCCAAATGGGAGAAATTGGCCAAAATAAAGGGGCTATGGGCCCATGCTAGTCAAAAACCCAGCAGGGCAGCCATTACATCTTAAAGCTCCAAAATAATCTCCTTTGACTCCACGTCTCACAACCAGAGCATGCTGATGCAAAGGGTGGGCTCCCAAGGCCTCGGGCAGCTGTGCCTTTGTGGTTCTAGATGGACAGCCCCTGCAGCTGCTTTCACAGGCTAACATGGAGTGCCTATGGCTTTTCCAATGACACAGTGCGAGCTGTTGGTAGATCTACCATCCTGGGGTCTGGAGGACAGTGGCCCTTTTCTCACAGCTCCACCAGGCAGTGTCCCAGTGGGGATTCTGAGTGGGGGCTCCAAACCCACATTTCACCTCCACAGTATACTAATAAGAGGTTCTCCTTGAGGGCTCTGCCCCTGCAGTGGACTTCTGCCTGGACATCCAGGTGTTTCCATACATCCTCTGAAATTTAGGCTGAGGTTCCCAAACTCCAACTCCTGTCTTCTGTGCACCCACAGGCACAACACCACCCTTCAGAGGGTAAAAGCCACCAAGGCTTGGGGCTTGCCACCCTCTGAAGACATAACCTGAGCTGTACATTGGCCTCTTTCAGCCATGGCTGGAGCTAGAGCAGGTAGGATGCAAGGCACCATGTTCCAAGGCTGCACAGAGCAGCGGGGCCCTGGGCACAGCCCACAAAACCATTTTTCCTTCCTAGACATTCATCCCTGGAATGGGAGGGGCTGCTGTGAAGGTCCCTGAAATGCCCTGGAGACATTTTCCCCCATGGTCTTGGTTATTAACATTCAGCTTCTTGTTACTTATGCAAATTTCTGCAGCTGGCTTGAATTTCTCTCCAGAAAATGGGCTTGTCTATTCCAACACATAGTTATGCTGCAAATTTTCCAAACTTTTGCTCTCTGCTTCCCTTTTAAATATAAGTTCAAATTTCAGACCATCTCTTTGTTCACACATGAGTGTATGCTTTTAGAAACAGCCAAGTCACATCTTGAATGCTTTGCTGCTTATCCATTTCTTCTGCCAGATACTCCAAATCATCTCTCTCAAGTTCAAAGTTTCACAAATCTCTAGGGTATGGGAAAAATACTGCCAGCCTCTTTTCTAAAGCATAGCAAGAGTGACCTTTACTTCAGTTCCTAATAAGTTCCTCATCTCCATCTGAGACCACCTCAGCCTGGACTTCATTGTCCATATCCCTATCATCATTTTGGTCAAAACCATTCAACAAGTATCTAGGAAGTTCCAAACTTTCCCACATCTTCCTGTCTTCTGAGCCCTTCAAACTGTTCCAACCTCTGCCCATTACCCAGTTCCAAAGTTGCTTCCACATTTTTGGGTACCTTTATAGCAATGCTCCATTTCCCCGATACCAATTTTCTGTATTAGTGTGTTTTCATGTTGCGATAAAGAACTACCTGAGACTAGATAATTTATGAAGAAAAGAGGTTATATTGACTCACACAGGAAGCATTACTGGAAGGCCTCAGGAAACTTACACTCATGGCTGAAGGCAAAGGGGCAGCTAGGACCTTCTTCACGTGGTGGCAGGAAAGACAGAATGAGGAGGGAAGTGCCACACACTTTTAAACCATCAGATCTCATGAAGGCTCACTCACTATCATGAGAACAGCATGGGAGAAATATGCCAGCATAATTCAATCACCTCCAACCAGGTGCCTCTCCCAACATTGGGAATTAGAATTCAACATGAGATTTGAGTGGGGACACAGAGCCAAACCATATCACCCATCATCAAAACATCACTAAAGTATGATACATCATATGCAATATCTAGTTTTTTATCCCTTACCCCCATTCCCACCCTCTCCCAAGTCTCCACAGTCCATTATATCATTCTGTATGCCTTTGCATACCCATAGCTTAGCTCCCACTTATAAGTGGGAACATATGGTATTTGGCTTTCTATTCCTGAGTTACTTCTCTTAAAATAATGGCTTTCGGCTCCATCCAAGTTGCTGCAAAAGATATTATTTGATTCTTTTTTATGGCTGTGTAGTATTCCATAGTGTATACATACTGTATGTCTTTATCCACTCATTAGTTGGTGGGCACATAACTTGGTTCCATATCCTTGCAATTGTTAATTGTGCTCCAACAGACATACATATGCGGGTATATTTTTTACATACTGACTTATTTTCCTTTGGGTCAATACCAGTAGTGGGATTGCTAGATCAAATGGTAGTTCTGCTTATAGTTCTTTCAGAAATCTCCATACTATTTTTCATAGAGGTTGTACTAATTTACATTACCACCAGAAGTATACAAGCATTACCTTTTCACCACAACCACACCAACATCTGTTGTTTTTTGACTTTTTAATAATGGCTATGCTTGCAGGAGTAAGGTGGCATTTCATTGTGGTTTTAATTTGCATTTCCCTGATGATTAGTGACATTGAGTATTTTTTTCATATGTTTGTTGGCCATTTGTATATCTTTTTTTTTTTTTTTTAGAAATGTCTGTTCATCTCATTTGCCCACTTTTTGATGGGATTATTTATCTTCTTCCTGCTGATTTGAGTTCCTTGTAGATTCTGGATGTTAGTCCTTTGTCAGATGCATAGTTTGCAAATATTTTCTCCTAATCTATGTGTTGTCTGCTTTCTCTGCTGATTATTTCTTTGGCCATACAGTTCAATTAGGTCCTATTTATTTATTTTTGTTTTTGTTGCATTTTCTTTTGGGGTCTGAGTCATGAATTCTTTGCCTGGGTCAATGTCCAGAAGAGTTTCTCCTAGGTTATCTTCTTGAATTTTTAGGGCTTCAGCCTTCAGATTTAAGTTTTTGATCATCTTGAGTTGATTTTTATATAAGGTGAAAGACAGGTATCCAGTTTCATTCTATTATATGTGGCTATCCAATTTTCCTAGCACTGTTTATTAAATAGGTTGTCCTTTTCAGTTTTTTTTTGTATGCTTTGTCAAAAATCAGTTGGTTGTAAATATTTGGGTTTATTTCCAAGTTGTCTGTAGGTCTGCTTTTATACCAGTATCATGCTGTTTTGGTAACTATAGCCTTGTATTATAATTTGAAGTCAGGTAATGTGGCTCATCAAGAAATAATCATGTAATGTGATGCCTCATTTGTTCTTTATGCTTAGGATTGCTTTGGCTATTTGGGCTCTTTTTTGGTTCCATAGGAATTTTAGGATTTTTCTAATTCTGTGAAAAATGATATTAGTATTTTGATAGGAATTGCATTTAATATGTAGACATAATATTTCACAATATTAATTCTTTCAGGCTATCAGCATGGGAAGTGTTTCCATTTGTGTCACCCATGATTTGTTTCAGCAGTGTTTTGTAGTTCTCTTTGTAGAGATCTTTCACCTCCTTGGTTAAGTATATTCCTAGGTATTTTATTTTTGCAGCTATTGTAAAAGGAATTGAGTTCTTGATTTGATTCTTAGCTTGGTCATTGTTGATGTATAGCAGTGCTACTGACTTACAGTACGTTGATTTTGTAAGCTGAGAGTTTAACTGAATTTGTTTATCAAATCTAGGAGTCTTTTGTACGAGTCATTAGGGATTTCTAGGTATATGAGTGATGGTGATAACCTTGATGGCTTGGTTATGTTGGTGTCTGCTTAATTTCTCTGTTGTAAAGTTAGTTATATTTTTTTGCTGTATTTAATAAATATCTTGGTGGAGATACTTTGAGACCATGCGAATGTCCTGTTCCTCTTCAAATTTTTGCCTAGTGATATTGCATCTACCAATGGATCTTGCCTATAACAGTTATTACTGCGGTGTTTTCCTAATAGTGATTTTGTATTTCCCTCATTCTACTTACATATATTAACTGGAATTCTTTTGTAGGGAAGAGTCGTGTTTATTTACACAATTACTAAAGTATATCAATGTGGATTCTTATATATTTCTTATATACTTGTTATATTCTATTTTTATAATCCAGTACCATCATTATTACTTATTCATTTATTTATTTAATATTTTGCTCATATTGTTACAGGTTTGTCCATTGGGAACTCCTTCAGGTTGGCCCCTTTGTTTTTGACAAACCTCCATTCAATTGTGGGCACTTCTTTACTTTCTGTTACCAATGTCTATTCCAGGATTACCTTTTACTTTCTCAATTTGGTCCAGGAATCATCCACTTCTCCAAGGAGACTAGTTCTCTTTATTGAAGAATAATGTTTAGAAACCAAGATCTGGGTGTTAGGTGTGCTCACTGGCAATGCAGAGTCACTGTTTTTAGGTTTATTCAGGGGACGGAATTAGGAAATACATGCAATATGTGTACTTTTGTTTCTAGGTACTCTTAGGTGATAGAGCTACAAAGTATATGTATGCCAACCCATGCATGACACACATCTTTATTTATTTCTATATCTAGCTGTGTATATAAAGTAAAAAACCATGAGTTTATACTGATATCTATCTTTGATTTAAATCTAATACCACAGGGTTTGTTCTTCATTTCCCATATCCTTATTTTTAACTTCATTCTTCACTTGTGAGAAACCTAGCCCTCTACAAAATATTTACTTATTTGTTTATTTCTAGCATACATGTGAGGTAGTTTTAGAATTGCTAAGCCATATCTCTTTAAGAAACACATTTACTAATTCAAGTACAGTGTGTCTGTGTACAGTTCTTTTGGTCTTTAGTCTTAGAGCACCCAGATAAGATACTGTTGCCTCAGTTATGTAGGTTAGTTCTTTTTCTTTCCTGTTCTCAGTATGGTTATATTATTCACTTGAAATACAATTATACAATTAGGTTTATTTGCTACAGCTTATATTCTTTTGGGGGTTATCTCTGCAACCTAATTGGTTTTAATTATCATTTTGGAATGTGAAGTAATATTATGGTTCTAAAGGTCAGAGCTGTACAAAATGATACACTCAGAGAAGTGTCACTCACTCTCCATCCAGCTCATTCCCATTCCCTCTTTTTTTCTACCACTTTCTCATTTACTCTTTGTAGAGAAAAAAAATGTCTTTAGCTTCTGGTTCATCCTTCCAGCATTTCTTTGCAAAAATGAACAGATATGTGTTCTTATATCCCCTTTTATCTTGCCATGTCTCATATTATTGATCCATCTATCTTTGATATAGTTTCTTTTTCTATAAGGTTTGGAAATTCTCCAGAAGTTTTGTGTATTTAATTCCACATTATTATTATCATCAGAACTTCAAGTAGCCAATGACTCACTCTGTTAGATGTTCTTTCTCATTATTTTCGATTTACAAAATGTTATTTTTATTATTATTTCTTTTATGAGAGCTTTACGTCCATTATCTGCATTAGACTTCATTTTCAGAGACCATTTATCACTCCTGAGACAGGTCACAGAAAGATTATTCTTATTGAAAACAATTAGAAATGCCAGGCTTCACTTAGCTTCAGAAATTATCTGCTTGGAAGTGGGTGCAGAGAACATGTGTTTTCTGACCTTCACCAGGTCTAATCTGGTCCTTAACTTCCATGGCATTCAGCCTCTCCAGTTTTACATGGCTATGGGAACAGATTCCCCACAAAGAAAACAGCAGGCACACCATCAAATGACATTTCATTCTTTCTTTAATGATCTGTTTCTTTGCTCTTGGAACAAGTCTGTAAAGATTACAAGTGTGTCTCAGGGGAAAAAAATAAAAGTATAGTAGAGCCAAAACTTGAGCAAGTTCACAAAGAATCATAAGGGGGTGGACGAGGTATTAGAATATAAATAGAAAGTACAGTATTAGTTCCAAACAAATGCTTTCAAAGTCTTTGTGTGCACTGACAGCTTCAGATATTTGATGTAAATGAATTTTTCTCTAGAAACAATGGAATCTGTAGCTTGTGGTGGCACTGTTTCTTTTCTAAACCTTGCTTTTCTTTTGTTTTGTTCCTGAAGTGAAAGCAAAGCTAACTTAGGTATATATTTGCATCAGAAAGACTTCCCAGCAGCATCTATACCAGTCAGTGATCATTTTTCATTATTTTAGGTACCTACTTGTTTGCAATTTTCCTTTTTAAGCCTCCTCTCCACAAAGCACGAACACAGTACAGTACAGTCACACACAGACACACTAAAATGATGACGGCAACCAGCATGCGATTTTCTTTGACTATTAGAAAGTGAAGCCTATATCCACACTGTGTGCATTTTATGCTGTTGAAATCCCATCAGCTCATGAGAAAGTACTTATCTCCATTAATGTTACCTCCATTTGTCTAGGTGCTGTGTCAGAAATGTGATAGTGATGACTGACACCTCCTCTGTCCCACAGAATGCTTGTCCCAATCAACCCATCATTAAGGTTTTCAGAATATCCTTATAAAATATATCTTGAATCTTCTTTACTCTTTTGCCACCACTCTAGTCCAAGCTCCCTCTCTTGCTTGTCTCTCTGAACTCCCTGCCCCTGCTATAATTCCATCTCCACAAGAACCAGAATGAGTGAGTTTTTAGAATCTAAATATCATGCCATTCCCCTCATTGAATGAGTCTGCCCATTCTCACTGCCCACAGCTTTCTCTTGTACTTTGAGGGACACCACAGTTCTTTACAGATCTACAGGAAGCTGTGTGATGTGCTCACCGCTTACTCCTCTGGGTCTCCTCACTCTGCTTTTCCCCTGCTCTTGACTGGCTACAGCCATACTGTCCTTTACCAGTTCCTAGCTAAATAACTAGGCCTTTGTATATTTCAGCACCCAGAAAGGTCTTGCCTCCCTCTTTTCACCCAATTTCTGTTTGTCCCTCAGGACACAAGCTTAAAGAGTCCCTTCCTAACTTCCAGTTCAAATAGCATGTCCCTGTTATTATCTAACCAAATTATTTATTTGGGTGCTTAGATTTGTGTCTTCTTGTTCACTATAAGTTCCAGACCTGGCAGTGTGCCCAGCATATGGTAAATGCTTAATAAATACGTGTCAAATAAATTAATATGGTGGTAATTATATGCACGATCTCCAATTGTTAACTGCATTTGTTTAGAAAAATCATAAAAACTGGTGAATAATACATCATTTTCTTCCAAAGGGTTTTGCATATATGTTGGTTTTCAAATGAACCACTACTGCTCCCATTTTTATCACCATCATTACCGAGCACCCCCAACTGGAACTGACCCACCTACTTATCTCTTCCTGTGTAATGCCTTATGTGTACAACAGAGGTGGTACATACCTTGGTAGGATGATTTGAAGGATGCCTGGAAACATGGACAGAGTTTCACTTCCAATAGCTACACCATGAGATACTCACGCTTCTGACTGATGACATTAAAATTCTCCCATAGCAAAATTGTTATTTAGGAGAAATAACATTTCAGTCACTATTGACCATTATTGTCACACCCCAAGACAGAATGGCCAGCTAGTCAGAGACCAGATGTCCAAGGGAAGGAGACATAATATACATTTTAATTGGGTTGAGGAAGAATGTTAAGACATTAAGATATTCTCTTGAGGTGGGTGTACTGAGAAATTTCGGCAGCATTCCTCCCCAGAGAACCCTGGGAGTGGGTTGCTTCGCATCCCTCAGGAAGCTGTAATATCTAGGGAATGCTGAAAACAGTGGAAGTGGACCTCTGTAGGGTTAGAGTTTAGAAAACATATTAGGAAATTATACTGCTTTCTTTACTCTCTAGGGTTAGCTTTGCGTTGGCAAATTTCATTCTCATGCTTGAATTCCATGCTTGAAAGTTCAACTTTTTTCTTTCTTTTAAAAATTTTACTGAAGGAAAACAGACAGGCTAGACTATAAAGATATAAAGCGGTGAACAGGCAATTCAGGCTCCCCAGGCTGCCTGCCCTGTATGGCAAGCCGAATCTTTTACAGCTCCCTGCTTCAATCCTCATTGTTGGATATTGGTACTTCCGCAGTGGCCCTCATCTCCTGAGTTCCAGACCTGAGATGACCAGTTGAGCTGAGCAGAGGCCTGCTTCTGATCCCAACCTGCTTCCCTGGCTCTAATTTCTCCTGACTGAACACTTTTCTTTGAGGGCTTCCCTTTAGCATTCCTGTCCTAGGGCTCTATGTTGACTTCCCAGAGTCTCTCAATATAATGAATTTGAACCCTTCCCATTTCCTTGCCTTTGTAGATTTTATAAACTGCTTCAAAAATATTTTCTCATATGATCATTATAGCAATGTTTTGAAATAGGAATAACTTTCATAGATGAGGAAACTGGGTCTCTTCTCAGAAGTAGGTTGACTTGCTCCTTTCTGTTTGCCTGGACTTAATTTTTGCTAGTAGATTACTAATTGATTCTGATAAGGCAGGTAATGGCCTCTTGGGCCAGCAGCCAATTTAAAATGACTCAAATGGAAAATAACTAAAATAATAATGCAGTGTTCTAGAAGACCCCCAAACCTATAGTCTTCAAAGCCACATAAAGGAGGGCAGTGTTGAGATGGGTTTAACAAGGCATCATGATTATAGAATAAAAAGATGGTTGGTAGTAGGCACTCGAGTGAGTCTCCAGAGCCCAAGGGATTCTTCTTTTGAGTGTTAAAGACGAAGGATGTGGCTTGAACTGGGCTTCTGGTCAAAGAGAGTCTGGATTTAGTGAGTTGTCATCTAAAGCTGAAATTAGCTTCTGTTATTTGCCAGGGTTTAAAACTCAGCCCAGCAATTGTCTCTAGGCTGTTTTGGCAAATATTACAAATTTGCTACTCTTCTCCCATTGGGCTCAGGGCATGAAGCATGTGTGAAGGCTGCCAACATTCCTCTATTTGCTGGTTTCATCATAAAAGGGTATTGATGCAATGACACGGAAAAAGGCCAGTAATATAAGCCCAAAGCAACATCAGTGCACTTGAAAGCTTAATGGGTATTTCTTTGGTGATTTCATCATTGAGTCTAATTAAGTCCTCCATAGGCTTTTAGACAAACAACACTTTTGAAATCCCTGCCCTCCCCACCACCAAACTGACTTACCAGCATTCTTCTCAAACTAAATTGCATGTATAGCACATACACACACAAGTATTTCATATAGTGAAAGAAAATCCACATATAAATGTGTTTTCTGGTAAAGATTATCTATATTTGCACTTTCTTTTGAGAATCTTCATTTTTACATATGTGATGTCTTCTTTTTAATATTTGCTTACAATTGTGGAAGCTTCTGATTTTTTTTTTTCAGAAAACATGATGACAGGGTTTCACTGTACTTATGCATCTTTTGCATCTGAGGAACACAATACATTTCAGATTATAATATGTTTACACCATCCTTGGCATTGTCATCAACTTGCTGGTTTGGGATACAGAGGTCAAGCTCACCTGAGTTCCTTTGCTATAAAAAGGGACAATAGAGATTCAGAAAAAAAATAAGTGCTATGAAGTATCATAAGTCAGCGGCAGAGGAATGAAGAAAATTCTTGCCACGTGGTAGGTATGAGGGCTTTCCATACACTGTCTCATTTAGTCCTTGCCACAACCCTGTGAGGTAGGTGTTTTTACTCCTGCTTAACAGACAAGGGAACTGAGGCTCAAAGGGATTAAGTGACTTGCCTAAGATCACACAGTTGAATGGCAAAGCTGAATTTAAAACTTAATCGATCCACTTGAGAGTCCGTATTTGTTCCACTATGTACACAGCCCTTTAAATCTGAGCCAGGACTCTACCAAGATCAAGTAATTCTTTCAATCTATCCATTGAAATACTCAATCTTTTAAGGCAACTCTCAGAATTAATGTTCAATAGAAAACATGCTGTTGTCTATTCCCTGGTAGTGTGTATTGTCTAATTTGAAACTGTTTTTCTAAGTTATATTCTAGTTTCTCTAGATTTACTCCAGAAGTTGCATATAGCGAGAGGGCTATGGGGGCTGTGATTTGCTAAGTCATGACTATCAAATCAGTGAGAAGGACTTCAATTTGCAGCAGGTGTACTGAGTGATCTCTTGGAAGTGCATGGCATTAGACTCCAGGACTAACAGTGGTCAGTCTAGCGGTGTTGAAGACCAAGGCTTCCTGTTTCCTAACCCTTTCCTTGTGATTCTCTTTAAAGAGCCAACAAACCCAGAGAGAAATTTTGGATTTCTGAGTAATGCAATTTGGGTAGGAATATAAGGAAGACTAGTGAACCAGAAGTTTGTTTCCTTTACTTAGAATTGAACAGATTTTGAATTATCCAAAAATGGCTGTATTTGGCCATTCCCATATTGCTATAAAGAAATACCTAAGACTGGGTAATTTATAAAGAAAAGGGGTTTAATTGGCTCAAGGTTCTGTGGCGTCCACTTTTTGGGAACCTTCCCATCATGGCAGAAGGCAAAGGGGTACAAACATCTTTTTTTTTTAATATACTTTAAGTTTTAGGGTACATGTGCACATTGTTCAGGTTAGTTACATATGTATACATGTGCCATGCTGGTGCGCTGCACCCACTAACTCGTCATCTAACATTAGGTATGTCTCCCGATGCTATCCCTCCCCCCTCCCCCCACACCACAACAGTCCTCAGAGTGTGATATTCCCGTTCCTGTGTCCATGTGATCTCATTGTTCAATTCCCACCTATGAGTGAGAATATGCGGTGTTTGGTTTTTTGTTCTTGCGATAGTTTACTGAGAATGATGATTTCCAATTTCATCCATGTCCCTACAAAGGACATGAACTCATCATTTTTTATGGCTGCATAGTATTCCATGGTGTATATGTGCCACATTTTCTTAATCCAGTCTATCATTGTTGGACATTTGGGTTGGTTCCAAGTCTTTGCTATTGTGAATAATGCTGCAATAAACATACGTGTGCATGTGTCTTTATAGCAGCATGATTTATAGTCCTTTGGGTATATACCCAGTAATGGGATGGCTGGCTCAAATGGTATTTCTAGTTCTAGATCCCAGAGGAATCGCCACACTGACTTCCACAATGGTTGAACTAGTTTACAGTCCCACCAACAGTGTAAAAGTATTCCTATTTCTCCACATCCTCTCCAGCACCTGTTGTTTCCTGACTTTTTAATGATTGCCATTCTAACTGGTGTGAGATGGTATCTCATTGTGGTTTTGATTTGCATTTCTCTGATGGCCAGTGATGATGAGCATTTTTTCATGTGTTTTTTGGCTGCATAAATGTCTTCTTTTGAGAAGTGTCTGTTCATGTCCTTCACCCACTTTTTGATGGGGTTGTTTGTTTTTTTCTTGTAAATTTGTTTGAGTTCATTTAGGTTCTGTATATTAGCCCTTTGTCAGATGAGTAGGTTGTGAAAATTTTCTCCCATTTTGTAGGTTGCCTGTTCACTCTGATGGTAGTTTCTTTTGCTGTGCAGAAGCTCTTTAGTTTAATTAGATCCCATTTGTCAATTTTGTCCTTTGTTACCATTGCTTTTGGTGTTTTAGACATGAAGTCCTTGCCCATGCCTATGTCCTGAATGGTAATGCCTAGGTTTTCTTCTAGGGTTTTTATGGTTTTAGGTCTAATGTTTAAGTCTTTAATCCATCTTGAATTGATTTTTGCATAAGGTGTAAGGAAGGGATCCAGTTTCAGCTTTCTACATATGGCTAGCCAGTTTTCCCAGCACCATTTATTAAATAGGGAATCCTTTCCCCATTGTTTGTTTTTCTCAGGTTTGTCAAAGATTAGATAGTTGTAGATATGCGGCGTTATTTCTGAGGGCTCTGTTCTGTTCCATTGATCTATGTCTCTGTTTTGTTACCAGTACCATGCTGTTTTGGTTACTGTAGCCTTGTAGTATAGTTTGAAGTCAAGTAGTGTGATGCCTCCAGCTTTGTTCTTTTGACTTAGGATTGACTTGGCAATGTGGGCTCTTTTTTGGTTCCATATGAACTTTAAAGTAGTTTTTTCCAATTCTGTGAGGAAAGTCATTGGTAGCTTGATGGGGATGGCATTGAATCTGTAAATTACCTTGGGCAGTATGGCCATTTTCATGATATTTATTCTTCCTACCCATGAGCATGGAATGTTCTTCCATTTGTTTGTATCCTCTTTTATTTCCTCGAGCAGTGGTTTGTAGTTCTCCTTGAAGAGGTCCTTCACACCCCTTCTAAGTTGGATTCCTAGGTATTTTATTCTCTTTGAAGCAATTGTGAATGGGAGTTCACTCATGATTTGGCTCTCTGTTTGTTGTTGGTGTATAAGAATGCTTGTGATTTTTGTACATTGATTTTGTATCCTGAGACTTTGCTGAAGTTGCTTATCAGCTTAAGGAGATTTTGGGCTGAGACATTGGGGTTTTCTAGATATAAAATCATGTCATCTGCAAACAGGGACAATTTGACTTCCTCTTTTCCTAATTGAATACCCTTTATTTCCTTCTCCTGCCTAATTGCCCTGGCCAGAACTTCCAACACTATGTTGAATAGCAGTGGTGAGAGAGGGCAACCCTGTCTTGTGCCAGTTTTCAAAGGGAATGCTTCCAGTTTTTGCCCATTCAGTATGATATTGGCTGTGGGTTTGTCATAGATAGCTTTTATTATTTTGAAATACATCCCATCAATACCTAATTTATTGAGTTGAGTTTTTAGCATGAAGGGTTGATGAATTTTGTCAAAGGCTTTTTCTGCATCTATTGAGATACTCATGTGGTTTTTGTCTTTGGCTATGTTTATATGCTGGATTACATTTATTGATTTGCGTATATTGAACCAGCCTTGCATCCCAGGGATGAAGCCCACTTGATCATGGTGGATAAGCTTTTTGATGTGCTGCTGGATTCGTTTTGCCAGTATTTTATTGAGGATTTTTGTATCAATGTTCATCAGGGATATTGGTCTAAAATTCTATTTTTTGGTTGTGTCTCTGCCAGGCTTTGGTATCAGGATGATGCTGGCCTCATAAAATGAGTTAGGGAGGATTCCCTCTTTTTCTATTGATTGGAATAGTTTCAGAAGGAATGGTACCAGTTCCTCCTTGTACCTCTGGTAGAATTTGGCTGTGAATCCATCTGGTCCTGGACTGTTTTTGGTTGGTAAGCTATTGATTATTGCCACAATTTCAGCTCCTGTTATTGATCTATTCAGAGATTCAACTTCTTCCTGGTTTAGTCTTGGGAGAGTGTATGTGTCCAGAAATTTATCCATTTCTTCTAGATTTTCTAGTTTATTTGCGTAGAGGTGTTTGTAGTATTCTCTGATGGTAGTTTGTATTTCTGTGGGATCAGTGGTGATATCCCCTTTATCATTTTTTATTGCATCTATTTGATTCTTCTTTTTTTTCTTTATTAGTCTTGCTAGCGGTCTATCAATTTTGTTGATCCTTTCAAAAAACCAGCTCCTGGATTCATTAATTTTTTGAAGGGTTTTTTGTGTCTCTATTTCCTTCAGTTCTGCTCTGATTTTAGTTATTTCTTGCCTTCTGCTAGCTTTTGAATGTGTTTGCTCTTGCTTTTCTAGTTCTTTTAACTGTGATGTTAGGTTGTCAGTTTTGGATCTTTCCTGCTTTCTCTTGTGGGCATTTAGTGCTGTAAATTTCCCTCTACACACTGCTTTGAATGTGTCCGAGAGATTCTGGTATGTTGTGTCTTTGTTCTCGTTGGTTTCAAAGAACATCTTTATTTCTGCCTTCATTTCGTTATGTACCCAGTAGTCATTCAGGATCAGGTTGTTCAGTTTCCATGTAGTTGAGTGGTTTTGAGTGAGATTCTTAATCCTGAGTTCTAGTTTGATTGCACTGTGGTCTGAGAGATAGTTTGTTATAATTTCTGTTCTTTTACATTTGCTGAGGAGAGCTTTACTTTCCAGTATGTGGTCAATTTTGGAATAGGTGTGGTGTGGTGCTGAAAAAAATGTATATTCTGTTGATTTGGGGTGGAGAGTTCTGTAGATGTCTATTAGGTCCACTTGGTGCAGAGCTGAGTTCAATTCCTGGGTATCCTTGTTGACTTTCTGTCTCATTGATCTGTCTAATGTTGACAGTGGGGTGTTAAAGTCTCCCATTATTAATGTGTGGGAGTCTAAGTCTCTTTGTAGGTCACTCAGGACTTGCTTTATGAATCTGGGTGCTCCTGTATTGGGTGCATATATATTTAGGATAGTTAGCTCTTCTTGTTGAATTGATCCCTTTACCATTATATAATGGCCTTCTTTGTCTCTTTTGATCTTTGTTGGTTTAAAGTCTGTTTTATCAGAGACTAGGATTGCAACCCCTGCCTTTTTTTGTTTTCCATTTGCTTGGGAGATCTTCCTCCATCCTTTTATTTTGAGCCTATGTGTGTCTCTGCACGTGAGATGGGTTTCCTGAATACAGCACACTGATGGGTCTTGACTCTTTATCCAATTTGCCAGTCTGTGTCTTTTAATTGGAGCATTTAGTCCATTTACATTTAAAGTTAATATTGTTATGTATGAATTTGATCTTGTCATTATGATGTTAGCTGGTTATTTTGCTCGTTAGTTGATGCAGTTTCTTCCTAGTCTCAATGGTCTTTACATTTTGGCATAATTTTGCAGCGGCTGGTACCGGTTGTTCCTTTCCATGTTTAGTGCTTCCTTCAGGAGCTCTTGTAAGGCAGGCCTGGTGGTGACAAAATCTCTCAGCATTTGCTTGTCTCTAAAGTATTTTATTTCTCCTTCACTTATGAAGCTTAGTTTGGCTGGATATGAAATTCTGGGTTGAAAATTCTTTTCTTTAAGAATGTTGAATATTGGCCCCCACTCTCTTCTGGCTTGTAGGGTTTCTGCCGAGATCCGCTATTAGTCTGATGGGCTTCCCTTTGAGGGTAACCCGACCTTTTTCTCTGGCTGCCCTTAACATTTTTTCCTTCATTTCAACTTTGGTGAATCTGACAATTATGTGTCTTGGAGTTGCTCTTCTTGAGGAGTATCTTTGTGGGGTTCTCTGTATTTCCTGAATCTGAATGTTGGCCTGCCTTGCTAGATTGGGGAAGTTCTCCTGGATAATATCCTGCAGAGTGTTTTCCAACTTGGTTCCATTCTCCCCATCACTTTCAGTTACACCAATCAAACGTAGATTTGGTCTTTTCACATAGTCCCATATTTCTTGGAGGCTTTGCTCATT
Organism: Homo sapiens; assembly: GCF_000001405.40. Classification (NCBI taxonomy): domain Eukaryota; kingdom Metazoa; phylum Chordata; class Mammalia; order Primates; family Hominidae; genus Homo; species Homo sapiens. The sequence goes on from NC_000015.10 coordinate 37,404,160, forward strand.
TCTTTTTATTCTTTTTTCTCTAAACTTCCCTTCTCACTTCATTTCATTCATTTCATCTTCCATTGCTGATATCCTTTCTTCCAGTTGATCGTATAGGCTCCTGAGGCTTCTGCATTCTTCCCGTAGTTCTCGAGCCTTGGTTTTCAGCTCCATCAGCTCCTTTAAGCACTTCTCTGTATTGGTTATTCTAGTTATACATTCTTCTAAATTTTTTTCAAAGTTTTCAACTTCTTTGCCTTTGGTTTCAATGTCCTCCCGTAGCTCAGAGTAATTTGATCATCTGAAGCCTTCTTCTCTCAGCTCGTCAAAGTCATTCTCCATCCAGCTTTGTTCTGTTGCTGGTGAGGAACTGCATTCCTTTGGAGGAGGAGAGGCGCTCTGCTTTTTAGAGTTTCCAGTTTTTCTCCCATCTTTGTGGTTTTGTCTACCTTTGGTCTTTGATGATGGTGATGTACAGATGGGTTTTTGTTGTGGATGTCCTTTCTGTTTGTTAGTTTTCCTTCTAACTGAGAGGACCCTCAGCTGCAGGTCTGTTGGAATACCCTGCCGTGTGAGGTGTCAGTGTGCCCCTGCTGGGGGGGTGCCTCCCAGTTAGGCTGCTCAGGGGTCAGGGGTCAGGGACCCACTTGAGGAGGCAGTCTGCCCGTTCTCAGATCTCCAGCTGCGTACTGGGAGAACCACTGCTCTCTTCAAAGCTGTCAGACAGGGACATTTAAGTCTGCAGAGGTTACTGCTGTCTTTTTGTTTGTCTGTGCCCTGCCCCCAGAGGTGGAGCCTACAGAGGCAGGCAGGCCTCCTTGAGCTGTGGTGGGCTCCACCCAGTTCGAGCTTCCTGGCTGCTTTGTTTACCTAAGGAAGCCTGGGCAATGGCGGGCGCCCCTCTCCCAGCCTCGCTGGGGCCTTGCAGTTTGATCTCAGACTGCTGTGCTAGCAGTCAGTGAGACTCCGTGGGCGTAGGACCCTCCGAGCCAGGTGCGGGATATAATCTTGTGGTGAGCGGTTTTTTAAGCCGGTCGGAAAAGCGCAGTATTCAGGTGGGAGTGACCCGATTTTCCAGGTGCCGTCCGTCACCCCTTTCTTTGACTTAGAAGGGAACTCCCTGACCCCTTGCGCTTCCTAAGTGAGGCAATGCCTCACCCTGCTTCGGCTCGCACACGGTGTGCGCACCCACTGACCTGCGCCCACTGTCTGGCACTCCCTAGTGAGATGAACCTGGTACCTCAGAAGGAAATGCAGAAATCACCCGTCTTCTGCGTCGCTCACGCTGGGAGCTGTAGACCAGAGCTGTTCCTATTCGGCCATCTTGGCTCCTCCCCCAGGGGTACAAACATCTTATATGACAGGAGCAAGAACAAGAGAGAGATGGGGGGAGGTGCCACACACTTCTAAACAATCAGATCTTGCAAGAACTCACCCATTACCACAAGGACAGCATCAAGAGGATGGTGCTAAATGATTCCTGAGAAACTGACACCATGATCCAATCACCTTCCACCAGCCTCCACCTCCAATATTGTGGATTATAATTGAACATCAGATTTGGGTAGGGACACAGATCCAAATCATATCCATGGCCACTATAGTATCTCACATCCCACATAATTCACATTATCATGTGACTTTGCCATTCCTCCCATTGAGAGGTGAGGTATGTGATCTCTTCCTTGAATCTGGGCTGACTTGAGACTATGGCAAGAAGGAGGCTCTGTGACTTCCAAGCTTAGGCCATAAAATGTGATATATCTTCTACCTGTTTTCTTGGAATCCTCACACTTGGAAATCAGATATTGTACTCTGAGAAAGCCCAAGCAACTCACAGAGAGGTCCACGTGGAGAGATCCATGAGAAAAAGAATTAAGCCTCTGGTCCTGACCTCTCAGCAGACAGCCACCATCACCTTGCCAGTTGGGTGAGTGAGCTATCTTGGAAGTGCTGTAGGTTGTACAATGCTCAGTTGAGTCACCTCAGCTGATAAGTGGAGCAAGGGCAAGTCTTCCCCATAATACCCTTCCCGAAGTGCCTATATGTCAGCTAAATAAATAATTGTTTTTATTCTAAGACACTAGATTTTGAGGTAGTTTACAACCGGAACAAAAGTAAGGCACAGTCATAAAAAAATGGTAGAAAAATCATTAAAAGTAGCTTATGCATTATAAATCCTTATAATTAAACACAGAAGGAATTTTCTGTTAGGAATTTTCAGTTAGTTCCTTGATTCTAAAGATAGAATTTATAAAATGTATATTTGGTGCAAAATGTCAAATGAGCATGTCTAGTCACAGAACTTATATTTGCTCATTTCTTTGAAATAAAAAAAATGTGATGCACACTGAATTAGGCCATAGATTCCAGACAGAATTCTGTGAAGACAGAAGAAAAGGAAATGGGTTGACAATATGGCATAAAATTTGCATTAAACATAACAGTAATGATAATGCCATTTGGGTATATAATTCTGTCTTTTTAAAAATTTGAAGAAATTAAAAGAGCAGTTTTAGTAGAGTAACATTATATAGTGGGCCAGAACAGTTTCTCTTTCTCTCTCTTTGTATCTGTCTCTTTTCCTCCCACTCATCCTCAACAAAAAGCTGAGCACACAAAATATCATGATTTGTTCACATGCCAGAAACAGACCAGTCTTATGCCAGTCTTCACTAGTTTTCATAAAAAAGAGTGATGAGTGTCAGCATTGTTTTGGTTATTAAATCAGTACCCTGTAGTAATTTTTCACAATTAGGCAATTGTTTCTCCAAAGCATTGTTCCATTTTCTCTATCCCTTTTTGCCTTGCCTCTACTAGGGCTTTACACTTCTATTTGTGTTATTCTCCTTGGTTTACCAGACTCTAGCCAATTTCCACCCTAAAGCATTACAGCTAAAATAACTCCCAAGTCATTTCAACCATTACGTTGATGTTATATATTCATTGCCTTTATGTGAAGTAGTCTTACCATTGCCACATTTATTTTAATAATAATAAACATTTATTCATTTATTTTTATTGCTTGCTATGTCCCAGGTTGTTTTCATGGTTCTCATTTCTCTATGTCTCTCTGTTTTCAGCACCTAAAATTCAATGCCTTGTCTTGTAACCTAAATTCAGTGCAATCCCCTCTTCATGTCACCCAGTGGTTTTCCTTTAACATTTTTTTATTACACATTTTTTTTTTTTTATTGAGCCATACTTTGCTGGGCTTAAAACTCTCCCAGGTGGCTCTCTCAGATTTATTATCCCCTTTTCTTCAATCAATTAGCACGGTTTTTCTGTTTGCTTCTCTTCTACTTACTTTGGCAATTACTGGAGTCATGCAGTAATTTATCTTGTTTGTCTTGTCTCCCCAAGAAAGAATTTAAATCATATATTTTTTCAAGGCAGGTACTGTGCCTATTGTTTTAAATTCTTCTCATTTGTTCTATAATGTGGTCAGTAACAAAAGCATGTGACAAAAAGTTAACAAAATGGAAAAACAAATGTCTTTACGATTAATATGTTAAATTTCAAATGACTGCTACTCTATGTAGAAGAAAATAGATTATGGATATTAGAAATGGGTGTGATGTAAATGTATTCATTTTAATACATTTTATTATTAACATATTTAAGTGTAGGTTGCACTGAACTCTTTAATATTATAGAAATATGTCAAAGGGAGCTTATAAAAACACAATATTTCAAAAAGGCAGATCAGGGGTGTGGCTGGCAAGATGGCCAAATAGAAACAGCTCTAGTCTGCAGCTCCCAGAGAGATCAATGCAGAAGGTGGGTGATTTCTGCATTTCCAACTGAGGTACCCAGCTCATCTCACTGGGACTGGTTAGAGAGTAGGTGCAGCCCAAGGAGGGTAAGCCTAAGCATGGTGGGACATCGCATCACCCGGGAATCACAAGGGGTCGGGGAACTCCCTCCCCTAGCTAAGGGAAGCCATTAGGGACTGTACCATGAGGAATGGTGCATTCCGGCCCAGATAGTATGCTTTTCCCATGGTCTTCACAACCTGCAGACCAGGAGATTCCCTCAGTGCCTATACCACCAGGGCCCTGGGTTTCAAGCACAAAACTGGGCAGTCATTTGGGCAGACACTGAGCTAGCTGAAGTTTTTTTTCATCCCCAAGTGGCACCTGGAATACCAGTGAGACAGAACCATCTATTATTCACTCCCCTGGAAAGGGGGCTGAAGCCAGGGAGCCAAGTGGTCTAGCTCAGTGGATCCCACCCCCATGAAGCCCAGGAAGCTAAGATCCACTGGCTTGAAATTCTCGTGGCCAGCAAAGCAGTCTGAAGTTGGCCTGGGACACTCGAGCTTGGTCAGGGGAGGGGTATCCACTGTTACTGAGGCTTGAGTAGGTGGTTTTCCCCTCAGAATGTAAACATAGCTGCTGGGAAGTTCAAACTGGGTGGAGCCCACCATAGCTTGGCAAAGCTGCTGTAGCCAGACTGCCTCTCTAGATTTCTCCTTTCTGGGCAGGGTATCTCTGAAAGAAAGGCAGCAGCCCCAGTCAGAGGCTTATAGACAAAACTCCCATAATCCCTGGGACAGAGCACCTGGGGAAAGGGGCTGCTGAACATTTAGCAGATTTAAATGTTCCTGCCTGTCGGCTCTGAAGACAGCAGTGGATCTCCCATCACAGCTGTGCTAAGGGACAGACTGCCTCCTCAAGTGGGTTCCTGACCCCTGTGCCTCCTGACTGGGAAGACACCTCCCAGCAGGGATTGACAGAGACCTCATATAAGAGATCTCTGGCTGGCATCTGGAAGATGCCCCTCTGGGACGAAGCTTCCAGAGGAAGGAAAAGGAAGCAATCTTTGCTGTTCTGCAGCCTCTGCTGGTGATACCCAGACAAACAGGGTCTAGAGTGGACCTCCAGCAAACTTCAGCAGACCTGCAGCAGAGGGACCTGACTGTTATAAGGAAAACTAAAAAACAGAAAGGAATAGCATCAAGATCAACAAAAAGGCTGTCCACACAAAAACCCCATCCAAAGGTCACCAACATAAAAAACCAAAGGTGGATGAATCCACGAAGATGAGGAAAAACCAGCACAGAAAGACTGAAAATTCCAAAAACCAGAACACCTCTTCTCCTCCAAAGGATCACAACTACTTGCCAGCAAGGGAACAAAACTGGATGGAGAATGAGTTTGATGAATTGACAGAAGTAGGCTTCAGAAGGTGGTTAATAACAAACTTCTCTGAGCTAAAGGAGCATGTTCTAACCCAATGCAAGGAAGCTAAGAACTTTGAAAAAAGGTTAGTGGAATTGCTAACTAGAATAACCAGTTTAGAGAAGAACATAAATGACCTGATGGAGCTGAAAAACACAGCATGACAACTTCCTGAAGCATACACAAGTATCCATAGCCAAATTGATCAAGCAGAAGAAAAGACATCAGAGATTGAAGATCAACTTAATGAAATAAAGCAAGAAGATTAGAGAAAAAAGAATGAAAAGGAACGAACAAAGGCTCCAAGAAATATGGGACTATGTGAAAAGGCCAAACCTATGTTTGATTGGTGTACCTGAAAGCGCCAGGGACAGTGGAACCAAGCTGGAAAACAATCTTAAGGATATTATCCAGGGGAACTTCCCCAACCTAGCAAGACAGGCCAACATTCAAATTCAGGAAAAATAGAGAACACTACAAAGATACTTCTTTAGATGAGCAACCCCAAAACACATAATCGTCAGATTCATCAAGGTTGAAATGAAGGAAACCAGAGAGAAAGGTCGAGTTACCCACAAAGGGAAGCCCATCAGACTAACAGCAGATCTCTCTGCAGAAACCTTACAAGCCAGAAGAGAGTGGGGGCCAATATTCAACATTCTTAAAGAAAAGAATTTTCAACCCAGAATTTCCTATCCAGCCAAACTAAGCTTCATATGTGAAGGAGAAATAAAATCCTTTACAGACAAGCAAATGTTGAGAGATTTTGTAACCACCAGGCCTGCCTTACAAGAGCTCCTGAAGGAAGCACTAAATATGGAAAGGAAAAACCGGTACCAGCCACTGCAAAAGCATACCAAATTGTAAAGACCATTGATACTATGAAAAAACTGCATCAACTAATGGGCAAAATAACCAGCTAGCATCATAATGACAGGATCAAATTCACACTAACAATGTTAACCTTAAATGTAAATGGACTAAATGCCCCAATTAAAAGACACAGACTGGCAAATTGGAAAAAGAGACCCATTGGTGTGCTGTATTCAGGAGACCCATCTCACATGCAAAGACACATATAAGCTCAAAATAAAGGGATGGAGGAATATTTACCACACAAATGGAAAGCAAAAAAAAAGCAGGGGTTGCAATCCTAGTCTCTGATAAAACAGACTTTAAACCAACAAAGATCAAAAAAGACAAAGAATGACATTATATAATGGTAAAGGGATCAATGCAACAAGAAGGGCTAACTATCCTAAATATATATGCACCCAATACAGGAGCACCCAGATTCATAAAGCAAGTTCTTAGAGACCTACAAAGAGACTTAGACTCCCATACAATAATAGTGGGAGACTTTAACACACCACTGGCAATATTAGACAGGTCAACAAGATATAAAATTAACAAGGATATTCAGGACTTGAACTCAGCTCTGGACCAAGCAGACCTAATAGACATCTACAGAACTCTCTACCCCAAGTCAACAGAATATAGATTCTTCTTACCACCACATCACACTTACTCTAAAATTGACCACATAATTGGAAGTAAAACACTCCTCAGCAAATGCAAAAGAATGGAAATCATAACAGTCTCTCAGACCACAGTGCAATCAAATTAGAACTGAGGATTAAGAAACTCACTCAAAACCGCACAACTACATGGAAACTGAACAACCTGCTCCTGAATGACTACTGGGTTCATAACGAAATTAAGGCAGAAGAAATAAACAAGTTCTTTGGAAGCAATGAGAACAAAGACATATGTTGGGTCTTTGTCCCAGAATCTCTGGAACACAGACAAAACAGTGTTTGGAGGGAAATTTGTGGCCCTAAGTAACCTCAGGAGAAAGTGGGAAAGATCTAAAATAGACACCCTAACACCACAATTAAAGGAACTAGAGAAGCAAGAGCAAACAAATTCAAAAGCTACCAGAAGACAAGAAATAACTAAGATCAGGGCAGAACTGCAGGACACAGAGACATGAAAAACTCTTCAAAATATCAATGAATCCAGGAGCTGGCTTTTTGATAAGATTTTTTTTGGAAAAAAAAATAGATAGACTGCTACCCAGAGTAATAAAAAAGAAAACAGAGAATAATCAAATAGACACAATAAAAAATAAGGGGGATATCACCATTGATCCCATAGAAATAAAAAATACCATTGGAGAATACTAAAAACACCTCTATGCAAATAAACTAGAAAATCTAGAAGAAATGGATACATTCCTGGACACATACACCCTCCCAAGACTAAACCAGGAGGAAGTCGAATCCCTGAAAAGACCAGTAACAAGTTCTGAAATTGGGGCAGTAATTAATAGCCTGCCAACCAAAAAAAGCCCGGGACAAGATGGATTCACAGCTGAATTCTACCAGAGGTACAAAGATGAGCTGGTACCATTCCTTCTGAAAGTATTCCAAACAATAGAAAAAGAGGGAATCGTCCCTAACTGATTTTATGAGGCCAGCATCATCCTGATACCAAAACCTGGCAGAGACACAACAAGAAAAGAAAATTTCAGGGCAATATCCCTGATAAACATGGATGCAAAAATCCTCAGTAAAATACTGGCAAACGGAATCCAGCAGCACATCAAAAAGCTTATTCACCACGATCAACTCTGCTTCATCCCAGGGACGCAGGGCTGGTTCAGCATATGCAAATCAATAAATGTAATCCATCACATAAACAGAACCAATCACAAAAACCACGATTATCTCAATAGATGCAGAAAAGGCCTTTGACAAAATTGAACACCCTTTCATGCTAAAAACTCTCAATAAACTAGGTATTGATGGAATGTATCTCAAAATAGCAAGAGCTATTTATGACAAACCCACAGCCAATATCATACTGAATGAGCAAAGGCTGGAAGCATTCCCTTTGAAAACCTGCATAAGCAAAGGATGCCCTCTCTCAACACTCCTATTCAATGTAGCATTGCAAGTTCTGGCGAGGGCAATCAGGCAAAATTAATAAATAAAGGTATTTAATTAGGAAGAGAGGAAGTCAAATTGTCTTTGTTTGCAGATGACATGATTGTATATTTAGAAAAGCCCATTGTCTCAGCCCCAAATCTCCTTAAGCTGATAAGCAACCTCAGCAAAGTCTCAGGATACAAAATCAATGTGCAAAAATCAAAAGCATTCCTATACACCAATAATAGACAAACAGAGAGCCAAATCATGAGTGAACTCCCATTTACAATTGCTACAAAGAGAATAAAATTACCTAGGAATACAACTTACAAGGGATGTGAAGGATCTCTTCAAGGAGAACTACAAACCACTGCTCAACGAAATAAAAGAGGACACAAATAAATGGAAAAACATTCCATGCTCATGAATAGGAGGAGTCAATATCATGAAAATGGCCATACTGCTGAAAGTAGTTTATAGATTTAATACCATCCCCATTAAGCTACCACTGACACTCTTCACAGAATTAGAAAAAACTACTTTCAATTTCATATGGAACCAAAAAAGAGCCCATATAGCCAAGACAATCCTAAGCAAAAAGAACAAAGCTGGAGGCATCATGCTACCTGACTTTAAACTATACTACAAGGCTGCAGTAACAAAAACAGCATGGTTCTTGCACCAAAACAGATACACAGACCAATGGAACAGAACAGAGGCCTCAGAAATAATGCCACACATCTAAAACAATCTGATCTTTGACAAACCTGACAAAGCAGTCTTGCCACTTCCCCCTTCTGCCTGCTTCTCAATGTGCCCCTGAGTCCCTGCAGCCCACCCAGGCCACCCTGTGGCCACGTTTTCGCTTGTGGGGGCCTTCTGCGAGATACCCAGGCAACCTGCTAAAAAAGCCTGGGGCATTACAGCCTGTCCAGGACAGCCCTGGGGGCTTCTGGGATGGAAGAGGCATTCTTGGGAGGCTTCCAGCATTCCCTGTGGTCTCGTTGCGTCTCCCTTCTGCCTGCCTCAACATCTATTTAATAAATGGTGTTGGGAAAACTGGCTAGCCATATGCAGAAAACTGAAACTGTATCTCTTCTTTATACCTTATACAAAAATTAACTCAACATGGATTAAAGACTTAAATGTAAGACCTAAAACCATAAAAACCCTGGAAGAAAACCTAGGCAATACCATTCAGGACATGGGTATGGGCAAAGACTTCATGACTAAAACACCAAAAGCAATGGCAATAAAGGCCAAAATTGACAAATGGGATCTAATTAAACTAAAGAGCTTCTGCACAGCAAAAGAAACTACCATTAGAGTGAACAGGCAACCTACAGAATAGGAGAAAATGTTTGCAATCTATCCATCTGACAAAGAGCTAATATCCAGAATCTACAAGAAACTTAAATTTACAAGAAAAAAAACAACCTCATCAAAAAGTAGGTGAAGGATATGAAGAGAAACTTCTCAAAAGAAGACATTTATGTGGCCAACAAACAAGAAAAAAAGCTCATCATCACTGACCATTAGAGAAATGCAAGTCAAAACCACAATGAGATAGCATCTCATGCCAGTTAGAATGGTGATCATTCAAAAGTCAGGAAACAACAGATGCTGGAGAGGATGTGGAGAAATAGGAACGCTTTTACACTGTTGGTGGGAATGTAAATTAGTTCAACCATTGTAGAAGACAGTGTGTCAAATTCCTCAAGGATCTAGAACCAGAAATACCACTTGACCCAGCAATCCCATTACTGGATATATACTCAAAGGATTATAAATCATTCTGCTATAAAGACACATGCACACATATGTTTATTGCAGCACTATTCAGAATAGCAAAGACTTGGAACCAACCCAAATGCCCATCAATGATAGACTGGATAAAGAAAATGTGGCACATAGACACCACGGAATACTATGCAGCCACAAAAAGATGAGTTCATGTCCTTTGCAGGGACATGGATGAAGCTGGAAACCATCATTTTCAGCAAACTAACACAGGAACTGAAAACCAAACACCGCATGTTCTCACTCATAAGTGGGAGTTGAACAATGAGAACACATGGACACAGGGAGGGGAACATCACACACAGGGGACTGTCGCGGGGTGAGGGTCTACGAGAGGAATAGCATTAGGAAAAATACCTAATGTAGATGATAGGTTTATGGGTGCAGCAAACCACCATGGCACATGTATACCTATGTAACAAATCTGCACGTTCTGCACATGTATCCCAGAACTTAAAGTATAATAATAATAAAAAAAGGCAGATCAATGGCAGATATGGTACTTCACTCTGAAATATGGAAATTTTAGAACAGTTCCCAGTCTCTTTAGGCTTTCTTATCAGTAAAACACAGTACTCAGATTTACATGAATAAATTACAGGTTTTGGAAAGTAATAGGAATTAGATAATGTAGAGATATGAGCTCATGGAGTTTATGGAATAGTTATTTTTCATTACTTACAGATTTGGCTCACATAATTATCTTTCCTCACTTTGCACCTTATATATTCTCATTTATTAGTGGGTTTCCCAACAATCTTCCTGTTTCTTCTCATTATGTATATTGCTTCCCAGTGGTGAAAATGGTGTTGAATGAGAACAAGCATTGTCAACTGGTGATGTTCATTGCTGTCCGTAGTCTAAGAAATGAGGCAGAGATGGATGCTCAACATATGCTTAATGCTGAGCCCCTCCCCCTTCATCTAAATGGGTTGCAACATCTTCCAAAGTTGGAAAACCATCCGAGTCAAAACATATCTACTGCTTGTTTCCTGGTAAAAGGGGCACTTTGAGAGCAGAGCCACCAGAATTAAGGTATGTTGAACTATCAGTATTTTTGAATTTCTTGAGTAATTGATACTGAACTGATTCCTTTGGATATGGCACTTACTTCATAGAGGCTTTTCTTGGGATGGGATTCTGCGCTGTGAGGATAGAGAATGTCTGAGCCTTAGGTCAAGTTTTTGTTTTTGTTTTTTCCTGGTGGCCTTTCATTGTACATACAGTAACAATGAAAATAGTTCATTGGGAGATGCAGGCAAGAGATCACAGATTAGTGTGATCTGCCTTGGACCAGGTAGTGCAATGTTGAATGTGATATCCAGGCAAGAGCTAAATATAACAAAATAAAGTCTGATTGATAATTTGTTCTGAAGTTGCGTCAACATTCATGTAGTTAAACTAGAGTTTATGGACAACTGAACATAATCATCTAGGGTTACACTGTCCAATATGGTAGCTACTAACCAGATCTGCCTACTGAACACTTGAAATGTGGTTTGTTTAAATTGAGATGTAACATAAGCAAAGAGTTCAAAGAAAAGAATGTGATATAATAATTTTTTATATTGAATGTATGCTGAAATAATATTTTAGATATACTGGATTAAATGAAATATATTATTAAAATGAAATTTTCACTTGTTTCTTTTTTTACTTTTTAAAATGTGCTTAAAACAAAATATTTTAAAAATCACATATGTAGCTCACATTTTATTTTATTTGGGCATGCTGGTTGAGAGCTTTCTATTAAGACAGACGTGGCTTTGAGTCCTGGCTCTGATCCACGGAAGTCATTTAATTTCAATAAGTCTCAGGTTCCTTCTTGAATAATAATAGTACTTACCATAGTGTTTTTATGAGGATTAATGGAGATAATGTTCGTAAGGTACTTGGTAAATTACCTGGCACAAAGGAAATAAACATTTAAATAAAAGCCTAAGACTAATATTCTGGAGATCTAGATTCTTTTGCCTACTAATCACTCAGGCAGCATTGAAGGAGTCACTTATTCTCTCTGGCTTACCCATGTATAAAATTATGTCACTTTAACCATGTATAAAATGATGGGTTTGTGTAGAATATTTACAATATTTACAGTATCTACTTGGGTAATTTGCATCACTTCTTTGTGAATCAGTCTCCTCATTTGGGAAATGATGAGGTGGATTACATTATCTCTGTGGTCCCTTTCAGCTTGAAATTCTGCAATTTTATAACTTAAATCAAATATGAAAACTTTGTCATTGCTGACAAAGCATTTCTAGCAGGTTTGACTATGGCAATGATTTAATTTAGATATGTTTCTCTTCCTGTCAAAACAGTGCGATATGATATATGCCACATCAAGAAGCCTTGTCCCAAAGACTTATTTCATAAAATAGGGAATTATAAAAGTGAATTTCAGTAACTAGCATCACCTCTGAGCCTGACCTAGTTACAGTCTTTCAATGTTTTACTGCCTACATCTGTGCAATGGGCCCAAAGAATTTGTCGGATATCTGATTATTGCAAAGACAATAAATGGTTGTGTCCTGTGGAGGAAAAAATAATTCCCATTTGAATACGAAAAACAAAGAGTATTTCTCATGAGCGTGTCTCTAAGAATGACTTCATAAAAAATGTAGCTATTTAAAAATATAGAGATGGTAACAGAAACAGATTTGTGAAATATCTCATGCTTCCAAGTACTTTGTATTTTTTTATGTACAACCTTTATATTTCCTACTGCCTGCCTTTGGATATCAGAAAGGAGAATTCTTATTTTTCACTACACACTTGATCTTTTGGTAATTTGATTCATGGGATTTTTCTGTTTGTAAACAATATTGCATGGGAACAAGTGACACACAATGTTTTTTACTGAGCATATCTCTTACTAGGCATGGGTGAACTTTGCAGAGCAGAATGGATTCTCAGCCCAGAGAGTGGGGATTATACATATAGGTGAGGTTGAATGATAAAAATAAAAAAAAATACAGTCACACCAAGAGCAGGAGAATGAGTAGAAAAGAGGCAGCAAATTCTTTGGATCTACAATATATCTAGCTTTATGTTCACTGTGTTCTTATGAGACGTCTTTCAAAAACATCAATGTTGAAATTTTGGTTTCACTATTGGGCACTTGCTATTTTTCTAAATTACTATAACCAAGAAATTGCCTAACATACTAAGAGTTATAGTGAAATTGTCTAGGAGACAAAATCCCACTCTTACCAGTAGTGTCCCTTTCTAAAGCAATTTATCCACATAAATTGGTTGGTCTTCAAATAATTGAAATTTAAATTATACTACAATGTCCCGTCTCTACCATGCCAGTTAAGTTGTAGTGTGAAACTTTGTAATGTATCACACTTTACAATTTTTCAATGTGTTTGTATGTCTTACTATATTTTATTATTTTTATCAGGATTAGAACTCAAAATCTTGGTTATCGTTAGTAGCAGAGTTGATCTGTAATGTATGACTAGCTTTGATAATATGGACAAATCCTTATAATAGAACTAGAAGGTGCTTGATGATTTGACACTAATGTAAAAGATTAAATTCACAGAAAATAAATGTAAGTATGACAAATCAATAGATGGAAAACTTTATAAATGTGGTTTCTAGCCATTATCAAAATCTGGAAAGATACAAACATTTTTTTAAATGTTTAGATAAACAGTGGGTAATATTCATAGGATGGAGCAAAATCTAAGTGACAATCCTGTGACTAGGAAAGAAGGAAATCGATCATGTGCCAAACACTACACTACACATTTTCATACATATTAGCTCATTACGCACTGATACTGTAAATAAGTTGCCAAACTCTTCATCAGTAAGCGGTGGGATAATAATTCTAAAACCAGCCCCAGCTGATGTTTCTTACATTTGAGAGCAGAAAGGAATTAACACAAAAGGGCCTCTGTGAATCTATTATCTGTAGTGACTATTATATCATAACGAACTTATTTGTAAAAATCCGCCTTGTAATGTTGGGGATTTTTAAGTTTAGAAATTCCTAAAATCCTGCTGCTGCATGACAATGGCATGCAGAAAATACAAAGAGTAGACAGCAGAACTAGGACAGTGGGTGAGCTCAGTGCAAGGAAGAACTTGAAAAAGCAAACAAGATCTCCACTTGAGATAATATGCTGTTCTCATGGAAAAAGAAACTGAGTGATAAGCCCTCAGGAAAACTGTAAACGGGTGGCCAACAGCATCTAAGATTGCTAACTCAATGGATTAGGGAAGGAAATTAATAGCAATGAGGAAATATAATAGCACAGATAGCTCATAATTTTGAGCTTCTTTTCCCATATTGCTCCCATCTGTCCTGCTGTTGCCCACTCAATGTCCAAAGCTAGTGTAACCACTGGGCAGCTGTGCTCTTAAGACAGAAGAGGTCTGCAGATCACAGGTCACTGCTGATATTTCCTTGTATCAAAAACAATGTCTAACAAGTTACACAAACTTTAATCATAGTAACCGTGATGCCCCAAGCATTGAGACAAATGCTGGGAGAAATTTTAAAATGTCCCTCACAGGGTTCATGGTCATGTGAAGGACATAGACATGAATAACCAATGGAAAAGTAACACACTTCCATAGGGGTAAAACTTAGGAAGCACTTAAATATTAATTCCCATATTGTCTTTATAAAACTGCTTAACTCCTGGAATGTCAGTAGTGTTAGGCCTCATTGCTTTTCTCTATGAAATGGATATGATGATAATGACTTCCCTTGCAGAATTTCTGTGTTGTATAAATGTACTGATATAATTCAATATATATCCACTCTCTATAGTCTTTATCAAGAGGAAAAAATTTGGTTGGGGGTAAAAAATGGAAGACAAAGAAATCTATCAAATATATTTTTATAAATAATCATTCAAACATTTCCTGAATAATTCCGCATTACTTAATTGAAAATTTAAAGTCCTTATCAATAATTTTAGCACATAAGTATATTTTTAAACCCCCTTTTTGCACAGATTATAACACTAAGAACCAGAAAAATCAAGAGAATTTCTAAAGGTTACTCAGCTAATAAGTGGCGGAGTCACGCTTGGGTTCAGACTTCTGACTCCTGCCTTGGTGCTCACATGCTTAATTTTGTATCTCAGAGTATTGGACTTGGCTAATGTCTTAGTCCATTCTCATACTGCTGTAAATAAATACCTGAGACTGGGTAATTTATGAAGAAAAGATATTTAATTGACTCACCGTTCCACAGGCTTAACAGGAAGCATGACTGAGAGGCCTCAGGAAACTTACAATCATGGTGGAAGGTGAAGGGGAAACAAGGACCTTCTTTACATGGTGGCAGGGGAGAGAGAGAAAGAGAGCAGGGGGAAGTGCCACACATTGTTAAACCATCAGATGTCGTGAGAACTTACTCACATTCATGAGAACAGCAAGGAGGAAATTCACCCCCATGATCCAATCACCTCCCACCAGGCTCCTTCTCCAGCACATTCGACATGAGATTTGGGTGGGGACACTAAGCCAAACCATAGTAGCTAGATTTGCCAGATTCTAAGTAGAAAAAGGATTATACAGAAAATGTTTACATCAGTTTTTTTGTCTGCTTAGCTTCTTTATACAATTTATTAATATAAAATACTGATAGCTGAGTGAAGTATGATATACCTAAAAATTGTCATTAAGTACTTCTGTATTTAAGCACATTTACAGAGAATTTTGTTACTGAAAGTGTAATCATGTACCTCCTAGGAGTTAGCAAAAAAAAAACCCCAAGATTAATATAATCGTATACAATATATTATTCCCTTTTAGGTTATCCAGATTTATTCCCATCAACATAAATGTATTCCTATAGATTACTGTGTATTCATGAATTGGATTTCTTAGGAGCATGTGAGCTCAGACAATTTTCTATATACACCAAAAAAGTCTTAGTCTTTGCAGTCATAGTCAATAAAGCAGTAATTTGAAATGTAAATCATAACATCTCTAAACAATATAATATAATGAATAAATATAAACATAATATAACCTACCTTTATTCAATTTAATCGGTTTGTTCTTGATTGTAAGTGAATGAGTTTGCTGGTTCCCCAAGTCCAAGTAGAAACTGTCTTACTCTGGTTCCGTTTTCCTTGAGCCACTGTGGTAAACCTTTTTTTCTGGTGCAGAAAACACACATACAATAAAACTAACATTATTGATGGACTCTTGATAAGGAAATTCCCTAAAGGTTAGCTGAAACTCAACCCCTTTCTTCACATTAAGAAAGCATATTGACATGAAAGTTGTATTTTTAAGTAATAAACTATCTCTCTATCTCATCTGTCTATCTATCTATCTAATCTATCTTTCTGGCTGTTTTCAAGCATCAGTATGTTAGGTATTATTAGTGACTCAATTTGTAACTGATCAGCTCTATCAAGGTATCAAGATTCCACTGGGATCACTCCTGCCTTAGAAGGGAGTAACATGGATCTGCATGGAGTGCAGTGGATTAGTCACTGAGGGGAACACATCACCTTCTGATGGCCAGATCTACAGAACACCTGTTATTATCTTGCAGTGCCTGGATTCGAAGTTATAGTTAACAAAGTATCATTTTGGGGGTGTATTTCAAAATTTTCATGTGTAGATCAATGTTCAGAACTTTTTAGGGTCCTGTTTCTATTGATTAATCTAAATAGTGTATACCTGTGTGTGTAGGGAGACCTAATGACAAATCTTCATCACTTAATTTTATCGTTTTGTTGATTCAGAGAGTCTTGAGTTCCTGGGATTGCTGCAGATTAAACTATGACACACTTGTGTAGAGTTAGTTAGGTCTTTGGCATCAGATAGACCAAATGGGGGTTCTGGCATGGCCGGTGGAACCCTGACCAGTGACATTTACTCTCTGTCTGCTTCCTCATCAGGAAGATGAGAAAGACGATTTTAAGGACCAAATAAGGTAATGCATATGAAGTTTTTTTTTTCCAAATTCTTGGCATGTAGTGTGCACTTAACAATAATAATAAGTGATGATTACATAATTCTACTAATTTACACCAGGATTTAATCAGCAAGGCAGCAAACACATATCTTATATTTGCCCTGTTTTGTTCTCCACAAAAGGTGAGATGTTCAAAGTGTATGATACTGCCAGCAGGTGCCTGTGCTTCATGCCTCACTAAAGGAACTTTCATGTGAATTTCAAAAGAAATTCCAAATGATATTCTTCTAAAAGAGAAATAGCTTCTGTGCATCACAACTGAGGAAGCCACTGATATACAAAATTCTACTTTCTGTAATACTGCTTTGGTATATTGATCGGTTTAACCAGCTTAACCTTTCTGAGTCTGTTACTCTTTTATAAATGTTGTTAGTGTTTGGTGTACTAGATGTTAAATGGATAGTACAGTGTATTGATTCTGAATCTAATTTTGGTTTCCAGCGTATTGAGGATAACTAAATCTGGCATTTAGAGCACTCCAATACTGCATGATAATTTTTTAAAATATTTTTTCCTGAAAAAAGACATTGTAAGCACATTTAAAGAGTTCCTAGTAAAAATTAAGTCTATGCAAATTTTTGTTATTGAAGATATCATTAGGCAGCATTGAAGAACTAAATTTATTCCAATAATCATTATAATGATGAAAAAATTCCTTGCTTCAATAATTGATTTATGCTTCATTTAAATGTACAGAGTAGTTCCAATATAATTTCTTATTAGCTCTAATGACGAATTTTAAAGTAGCATGGCTCTGAAATAAAGATGAAAATTCTCCATACAACTTATTGCATTTAAATGGAATTAATATTTAATATTTAAAAAATCATTTGATGTAAATAGCCATCATGAATCACTGCAAATATACTAAGATGTAATTAAACGCTTTTTTCTTTTCAAATGCATCTACTTGTTTCATAATAAATTATTTTTGTAATCTTTCTTCTTTTAAGCTGTGCTATTACTTTTGAAATTATTTTTAATTGTGAAATAGCATCAACTCTAAAAAAACAGCAAATTAAAATATCTCCTCCTAGGCAAATTCAAAATTGCTGAATTATTGTTTAACATTTGCTTTTATCTTGCAATTGTTTAAACCATGATAGTAAACACTCATTTTCTAAAACAGAAGGAAAATGGGCAAAACTTGGGGGAAAGGCAAGATCCTGTGATTATAAAGCTTTCACTGCATAAGACTGTGCACATAGAGAAACTATTGTTACCTAATTCTGTACTTGGCATTTTTTGGGGTGACAATATGTGTCATAAACTTGGTGGGGCAGGATTAGTATAGCTCCTATTGGCTAGATCCAGGAATCAGGCACCTAGGGGTACAGCGTTCAGAAGAGCTGCCAGTACATCTGGGAGTTCTTGAGGCTATTTCGTGGCATTGTGAAATTCAGAAGGCTGGCAGCGTGGGCTGTTATCAGATTCTCTTTGGCCCGTAAGGATCTGACCAATCTCTCTCTTTCTCTCTCTCTCTCTCTCTCTCTCACACACACACACACACACACACACACACACACACACACACACACACACACACACACAACAAATAAGAATTCGGGGGCAATCTCTAACTACTCTATGGAGAATAAACTTATTTTAAGTATATTACAAGACATCAGGACAGCAGCTCTTCTGCCTGAGTGGTAGTTCCTGAAGCACTCTGGACCCAGCTCTGTACACTTAGTATGTAGAGAGGAAAAAGTCATGATAAATGAGCCAAAAGTCCTAGTTTAGGTTCAATAACTCTCTCAAGGCCTCAGTTTTCTCATCTGTTATGTAAAATCCATGTCATTTTTCTGATAGATCCATGGAGTTCATAGACTGACGGTGTGAATGAATGCTTAAGTTAGTGTGACTAAATAATTTCATCATCTAAACCAGGACAATTTTGAGACTGCAGGAGGGAGATATTGTTAATTATACTGGTACAATATCTATAAACCAGGACCACCTGTGGCAAACAGGATCATATGTTTACTCCAGGTATAGCACTTTTAAAATTAGGAAGGTCTCTTTGACTGTAAGATGTGATAGTGGCAGTGGTGATAGTATTTGACTGTAAAGTGTGACAGTGGCAGTGGTGACAGTATCTAAAGCCTGGCTTCCAAACCCGATTTGACAAGGTATAGTGAGTCTTTCTGTGACATCAGAGGAAGGAATATGAACAGCATAACTTGTGACGTTGCCAATATTCTGATAATGAGGAGAACATACAGATAGCGATTTTATACTTTCTTCCCATAGTAAACTATGGATGACAAATTCTTGACTCCATCATCACATTCCAGCCATGACCATGTTAAGATATTTGTGTTATTCCCATCTGCCTTGAACATCCCCTCTAACCCATTCAGGAAACTAGTCTTTTTGGATGTCAAATATTTTCACTTCAGAAAGCTGGGTGCAGTGGCTTATGCCTGTAATCTCAACACTTTGTGAGGCTGAACAGGGAGGATCACTTGAAGCCAGGAGTTCGAGACTAGCTTGGGCAACAAAGACCCCATCTCGAGAGAGAGAGAGAGAGAGACAGAGAGAGAGACAGAGAGACAGAGAGCGAGAGAGCATGCTAATCTCCCTGACAAAAGTTCACAGTGCCCTAGAGGTCAGTTGCTTGAGAAAGACAGATTAGGCCAATTCCTTTTAGCATAATGGATTTGTGTAATGGCCTCCACTCGATACTATCAGGTATGGTTTGCAAGAGGGTACAATATTAAAATGAAATGGGTATTTTGAGAAAAGAATTCTTAATTAAATTTTTTAAAAATTTGAAATATCTTTATGCTTCAAAGTCTTATAGAATTTTTTTTTTTAGATTTATCTATACTGTTTGTAAAGCAATAATAAGCGAAGTTCTTTTCTACAGTTTTCCCTTCTATAAACCAGGCTTTCAAATAATGTAATCAGAAATGATGGATGTGAATATATTTGTATTTTTCCCAGTTTAATAGAGCTCATAGAGAAGAAAGGTTGTATGCTATTCTTCAAGGTTATTATCAGTTATCACTATTAATTTTGGCCAGGAAAATGAGTCTATTGAGTTGAATAATCTTGATGTTTACTTAGAGAAAATAATTTTTTATTGCTAAACTATCTTTCTTCTTTCTATCATGCTTGGAGATTAGAGAATAAGGAGAATAAGAATACTATATTTTTGTAGCTGCTTGATTTAATAATAGAGACAAAAAACTGTGGAAATTTGTGTTATTTAATCAACATTGTACAATCTGAAAAAAATCCTATCAGCTATATTAAGGTTCCCTTTTTTCTTCAAACAAAACTCTTTTTAAAGAAAATTTATTCTTTTATAATATTTTGTGTTAAGCTAATTGTTAGAATCAGTTAAATCAGGAAATTTTACTAAATAATGATCTAACTGGTTATAGGACCTTTATTCCTTTTTTTAATTTTTATTTTTTATTTCAATAGGTTTTGGGGGAACAGGTAGTGTTTCATTACAAGGATAAGTTTTTTAGTGATGATTTCTGAGATTTTGGTGCACCCATCTCTCACCATCTCTCACCCCTCTCCTGCCCTTTCCCCTGAGTCCCCAAAGTCCATTGTATTATTCTTATGTCTTTGCATCCTCATAGCTTAGCTCCCACTTATGAGTGAGAATACATGATGTTTGGCTTTCCATTCCTTAGCGACTTCCCTTAGAATAATAGTCTTCAATTCCATCCAGGTTGCTGCTGATGTCATTATTTCACTTCTTTTTACGGCTGAGTAGTATTCCATGGTGTGTGTGTGTGTGTGTGTGTGTGTGTGTGTGTGTGTGTGTGTGTGTATGTATTTATATATCACTTTTTCTTTATCCACTCATTGATTGATTGGCATTTGGGCTGGTTCCATATTTTTGCAATTGCAAACTGTGCTGTTATAAACATGTGTGCAAGTATCTTTTTCATTAATAATTTATTTTCCTCTGGGTAGATACCCAGGAGTGGGATTGGTAGATCAAATGGTAGATCTACTTTTAGTTATTTAAGGAATCTCCACACTGTTTTCCACAGCAGTTGTACTAGTTCACATTCCCATACAGGTTCTTTATTCCTAAGAATCTACAGGTGGTCTAAATTTAGGATTATCTGGTTCCACATAAGGAATATACAGTTTTTCTATTGCATACAGCAGGTGGTATCAACAAGAATAATTGCCTTAGCATATACTGAGTAAAGACTAATAAGAAGAAACTACATTACCAAACAGAAAGATGATATTCATTTCCTTGATGCCAAACTGCACAGACTTAATAACATTTTTTCACTAAAAAAATTTAAAATCATTGTATGTGATATATAGTAGAAATGGTAAGTTTAAAATCCAAAAGACTCTTCCTGGTGATTTCTAGGACTCAATTTTTCCTTTGATGTATATGCATAAAAATTATTCTCCAGCCATAGTGAAAACAATGCTGGAAGTATTTAGAGTTGTTACCTAAGTGATGCAAACACCGTTGGCCAATCTGGAAAGAGGAAACATTTCACTGACATTTGAAATTGAATTGGAAATTCCATGATTTTTTTAATAAAGAGTATTTTTTAGAGACAGTGTCTCATTTGTTTGCCTAGGCTGAAACGGGGTGGCACAATCACAGCTCCCTGAAGCCTGGAACTCCTGGGCTCAAATGATCTTCCTGCCTCAGCCCCAAGGTGCTGGGACTACAAGCATGAGTCACCATGCCTGGCCAACACTTGGTTTTTTTTTTGTAAAGGGGGTGACTATAGTGAACCACACATTTTATAAATGAGTACCATTTCAAATATGCATACACTCACTGGGTGCCTAAAGTATTTCCTATCCTTTTTGAAATTTCTTTTTTAAAACAAGTCATAGTGTATAACTTAAGGGCTTATCATCTCTTACTCTTTCTGAAAGGAAAAAAAAAACATGTGCACATAAATGGGTTTAAAATATGTTTGTTTTAAGTAAAAAAGAATGATTTAACATACAAGCAGCCAACAAACATGAAAAATGCTCAACATAATTAATTTTCAGAAAAATGCAAATCAAAACCACAATGAAATACCATCTCACATGGGTCAGAATGGCTATTATTAAAAAGTCAAAAAAATAACAGATGTTAGTGAGGATGCAGGGAAAAGGGAATGCTTGTACATTGTTGGTGAGAATGTAAATTAGTTCAACCTTCATAAAAAACCGTATGGAGATTTCTCAAAAAACTAAAAATAGTACCACCATTCAACAAAGAAATCCCATTATTGTGTATCTACTCAAAGGATAATACATCATTTATTTTAAATTAATAAATAAATAATCTATTTAAATCATTATATCAAAAAGACACCTGTACTTGAATGTTAATTGCAGCACTAGTCACATTAGCAAGATATGGAATCAACCTTAGTGTCCATCAATGGATGACTGGATAAAGAAAATGTGGAATATATACACCACAGAATACTATGCATCCATGAAAATGAATACAATCATCCCTTTTTCAGTAGCATAGATCAAGCTGGAGGCCATTATTCTGAGGGAAATAACTCAGAAACAGAAAATCAAACACTGCATGTTCTCACTTATAAGTGGGAGCTAAACAATGGGTAAACATGAACATATAGAGAGAAATAATAGACACTGGAGACTCCAAAAGCAGGGAGAGAGAGTAGAAAAATTACCTCTTGGGTACAATGTTCATAACTTGGGTGATGGGTACACTAAAAGTCCAGACTTCATCAATATGCAGTGTAACAAAACTGTACATGTACCCCTTGAATCTATGATTTAAAAAAAAAAATGATTTAGGACAGAGTTTTGTGACTTCAGTAATCCTCAAAATTTTGTTTACATCAAAGATGGTCATAATAAAACCGGATTTTACAATTGCTTCCTAATTTCAGCTGTATTATGCCATTAATCTACATACATAATCAGGGGGCATATCTTAGAATTTTTTGAGGTATTATGAATTATGAAAAGAAATGTAGCATATATTTAGAATGTGTTTGGTTCACAGATTATATTTTTATATTTTCTGCTCTTAGTTTTTAAAGTGTGAAGGTTCAACACCTCATAGTTTCAATACTAATAACAATAAAATTATATTAAATTTAGTCACTGCATATGTAGTCCTTTATTTTTTAGAAAACAACTGGGATTTTTGCTTTTATGGGGGGAGGAGCCAAGATGGCCGAATAGGAACAGCTCCGGTCTACAGCTCCCAGCGTGAGCGACGCAGAAGACGGGTGATTTCTGCATTTCCATCTGAGGTACCGGGTTCATCTCACTAGGGAGTGCCAGACAGTGGGCGCAGGTCAGTGGGTGTGCGCACCGTGCGCAAGCTGAAGCAGGGTGAGGCATTGCCTCACTCGGGAAGCGCAAGGGGTCAGGGAGTTCCCTTTCCTAGTCAAAGAAAGGGGTGACTGACGGCACCTGGAAAATCGGGTCACTCCCACCCGAATACTGCACTTTTCCGACGGGCTTAAAAAACCGCTCACCACAAGATTCTATCCCGCACCTGGCTCAGAGGGTCCTATGCCCATGGAGTCTCACTGATTGCTAGCACAGCAGTCCGAGATCAAACTGCAAGGCCCCAGCGAGGCTGGGGGAGGGGCGCCTGCCATTGCCCAGGCTTGCTTAGGTAAACACGGGAAGCTCGAACTGGGTGGAGCCCACCACAGCTCAAGGAGGCCTGCCTGCCTCTGTAGGCTCCACCTGTGGGGGCAGGGCACAGACAAACAAAAAGACAGCAGTAACCTCTGCAGACTTAAATGTCCCTGTCTGACAGCTTTGAAGAGAGCAGTGGTTCTCCCAGTACGCAGCTGGAGATCTGAGAACGGGCAGACTGCCTCCTCAAGTGGGTCCCTGACCCCTGACCCCTGAGCAGCCTAACTGGGAGGCACCCCCCAGCAGGGGCACACTGACATCTCACACGGCAGGGTACTCCAACAGACCTCCAGCTGAGGGTCCTGTCTGTTAGAAGGAAAACTAAAAAACAGAAAGGACATCCACACCAAAAACCCATCTGTACATCACCATCATCGAAGACCAAAAGTAGATAAAACCACAAAGATGGGGAAAAAACAGAACAGAAAAACTGGAAACTATAAAAAGCAGAGCACCTCTCCTCCTCCAAAGGAATGCAGTTCCTCACCAGCAACGGAACAAAGCTGGATGGAGAATGACTTTGACGAGCTGAGAGAAGAAGGCTTCAGACGATCAAATTACTCTGAGCTATGGGAGGACATTCAAACCAAAGGCAAAGAAGTTGAAAACTTTGAAAAAAATTTAGAAGAATGTATAACTAGAATAACCAATACAGAGAAGTGCTTAAAGGAGCTGATGGAGCTGAAAACCAAGGCTCGAGAACTACATGAAGAATGCAGAAGCCTCAGGAGCCGATGCGATCAACTGGAAGAAAGGGTATCAGCAATGGAAGATGAAATGAATGAAATGAAGTGAGAAGGGAAGTTTAGAGAAAAAAGAATAAAAAGAAATGAGCAAAGCCTCCAAGAAATATGGGACTATGTGAAAAGACCAAATCTACGTCTGATTGGTGTACCTGAAAGTGATGGGGAAATGGAACCAAGTTGGAAAACACTCTGCAGGATATTATCCAGGAGAACTTCCCCAATCTAGCAAGGCAGGCCAACATTCAGATTCAGGAAATACAGAGAACACCACAAAGATACTCCTCCAGAAGAGCAACTCCAAGACACATAATTGTCAGATTCACCAAAGTTGAAATGAAGGAAAAAATGTTAAGGGCAGCCAGAGAGAAAGGTCGGGTTACCCGCAAAGGGAAGCCCATCAGACTAACAGCGGATCTCTTGGCAGAAACCCTACAAGCCAGAAGAGAGTGGGGGCCAATATTCAACATTCTTAAAGAAAAGAATTTTCAACCCAGAATTTCATATCCAGCCAAACTAAGCTTCATAAGTGAAGGAGAAATAAAATACTTTAGAGACAAGCAAATGCTGAGAGATTTTGTCACCACCAGGCCTGCCCTAAAAGAGCTCCCGAAGGAAGCACTAAACATGGAAAGGAACAACCGGTACCAGCCGCTGCAAAACCATGCCAAAATGTAAAGACCATTGAGACTAGGAAGAAACTGCATCAACTAACGAGCAAAATAGCCAGCTAACATCATCATGACAGGATCAAATTCACACATAACAATATTAACTTTAAATGGAAATGGACTAAATGCTCCAATTAAAAGACACAGACTGGCAAATTGGATAAAGAGTCAAGACCCATCAGTGTGCTGTATTCAGGAAACCCATCTCACAGGCAGAGACACACATAGGCTCAAAATAAAAGGATGGAGGAAGATCTCCCAAGCACATGGAAAACAAAAAAAAGGCAGGGGTTGCAATCCTAGTCTCTGATAAAACAGACTTTAAACCAACAAAGATCAAAAGAGACAAAGAAGGCTATTACATAATGGTAAAGGGATCAACTCAACAAGAAGAGCTAACTATCCTAAATATATATGCACCCAATACAGGAACACCCAGATTCATAAAGCAAGTCCTGAGTGACCTACAAAGAGACTTAGAGTCCCACACATTAATAATGGGAGACTTTAACGCCCCACTGTCAACATTAGACAGATCAATGAGACAGAAAGTCAACAAGGATACCCAGGAATTGAACTCAGCTCTGCACCAAGCGGACCTAATAGGCATCTACAGAACTCTCCACCCAAAATCAACAGAATATACATTTTTTTCAGCACCACACCACACCTATTCCAAAATTGACCACATAGTTGGAAGTAAAGCTGTCCTCAGCAAATGTAAAAGAACAGAAATTATAACAAACTATCTCTCAGACCACAGTGCAATCAAACTAGAACTCAGGATTAAGAATCTCACTCAAAGCCCCTCAACTACATGGAAACTGAACAACCTGCTCCTGAATGACTACTGGGTACATAACGACATGAAGGCACAAATAAAGATGTTCTTTGAAACCAACGAGAACAAAGACACAACATACCAGAATCTCTGGGACGCATTCAAAGCAGTGTGTAGAGGGAAATTTACAGCACTAAATGCCCACAAGAGAAAGCAGGAAAGATCCAAAATTGACACCCTAACATCACAATTAAAAGAATTAGAAAAGCAAGAGCAAACACATTCAAAAGCTAGCAGAAGGCAAGAAATAACTAAAATCAGAGCAGAACTGAAGGAAATAGAGACACAAAAAACCCTTCAAAAAATTAATGAATCCAGGAGCTGGTTTTTTGAAAGGATCAACAAAATTGATAGACCGCTAGCAAGACTAATAAAGAAAAAAAGAGAGAAGAATCAAATAGACGCAATAAAAAATGATAAAGGGGATATCACCACCGATCCCACAGAAATACAAACTACCATCAGAGAATACTACAAACACCTCTATGCAAATAAACTAGAAAATCTAGAAGAAATGGATAAATTCCTCGACACATACACTCTCCCAAGACTAAACCAGGAAGAAGTTGAATCTCTGAATAGATCAATAACAGGATCTGAAATTGTGGCAATAATCAATAGCTTACCAACCAAAAAGAGTCCAGGACCAGATGGATTCACAGCCGAATTCTACCAGAGGTACAAGGAGGAACTGGTACCATTCCTTCTGAAACTATTCCAATCAATAGAAAAAGAGGGAATCCTCCCTAACTCATTTTATGAGGCCAGCATCATTCTGATACCAAAGCCTGGCAGAGACACAACAAAAAAAGAGAATTTTAGACCAATATCCTTGATGAACATTGATACAAAAATCCTCAATAAAATACTGGCAAAACGAATCCAGCAGCACATCAAAAAGCTTATCCACCATGATCAAGTGGGCTTCATCCCTGGGATGCAAGGCTGGTTCAATATATGCAAATCAATAAATGTAATCCAGCATATAAACAGAACCAAAGACAAAAACCACATGATTATCTCAATAGATGCAGAAAAAGCCTTTGACAAATTTCAACAACCCTTCATGCTAAAAACTCTCAATAAATTAGGTATTGATGGGACGTATTTCAAAATAATAAGAGCTATCTATGACAAACCCACAGCCAATATCATACTGAATGGGCAAAAACTGAAGCATTCCCTTTGAAAACTGGCACAAGACAGGGATGCCCTCTCTCACCACTCCTATTCAACATAGTGTTGGAAGTTCTGGCCAGGGCAATTAGGCAGGAGGAGGAAATAAAGGGTATTCAATTAGGAAAAGAGGAAGTCAAACTGTCCCTGTTTGCAGACGACATGATTGTATATCTAGAAAACCCCAGTGTCTCAGCCCGAAATCTCCTTAAGCTGATAAGCAACTTCAGCAAAGTCTCAGGATACAAAATCAATGTACAAAAATCACAAGCATTCTTATACACCAACAACAGACAAACAGAGAGCCAAATCATGAGTGAACTCCCATTCACAATTGCTTCAAAGAGAATAAAATACCTAGGAATCCAACTTACAAGGGATGTGAAGGACTTCTTCAAGGAGAACTACAAACCACTGCTCAAGGAAATAAAAGAGGATACAAACAAATGGAAGAACATTCCATGCTCATGGGTAGGAAGAATCAATATTGTGAAAATGGCCATACTGCCCAAGGTAATTTACAGATTCAATGCCATCTCCATCAAGCTACCAATGCCTTTCTTCACAGAATTGGAAAAAACTATTTTAAAGTTCATATGGAACCAAAAAAGAGCCTGCATTGCCAAGTCAATCCTAAGCCAAAAGAACAAAGCTGGAGGCATCACACTACCTGACTTCAAGCTATACTACAAGGCTACAGTAACCATAACAGCATGGTACTGGTACCAAAACAGAGATATAGATCAATGGAACAGAACAGAGCCCTCAGAAATAACGCCGCATATCTACAACTATCTGATCTTTGACAAACCTGAGAAAAACAAGCAATGGGGAAAGGATTCCCTATTTAATAAATGGTGCTGGGAAAACTGGCTAGCCATATGTAGAAAGCTAAAACTGGATCCCTTCCTTACACCTTATACAAAAATCAATTCAAGATGGATTAAAGACTTAAACGTTACACCTAAAACCATAAAAACCCTAGAAGAAAACCTAGGCAATACCATTCAGGACATAGGCATGGGCAAGGACTTCATGTCTAAAACACCAAAAGCAATGGCAACAAAAGCCAAAATTGACAAATGGGATCTAATTAAACTAAAGAGCTTCTGCACAGCAAAAGAAACTACCATCAGAGTGAACAGGCAACCTACAAAATGGGAGAAAATTTTCGCAACCTACTCATCTGACAAAGGGCTAATACCCAGAATCTACAATGAACCCAAACAAATTTACAAGAAAAAAACAAACAACCCCATCAAAAAGTGGGCAAAGGACATGAACAGAGACTTCTCAAAAGAAGACATTTATGCAGCCAAAAAACACATGAAAAAATGCTCACCATCACTGGCCATCAGAGAAATGCAAATCAAAACCACAATGAGATACCATCTCACACCAGTTAGAATGGCAATCATTAAAAAGTCAGGAAACAACAGGTGCTGGAGAGGATGTGGAGAAATAGGAACACTTTTACACTGTTGGTGGGACTGTAAACTAGTTCACCCATTGTGGAAGTCAGTGTGGCGATTCCTCAGGGATCTAGAACTAGAAATACCATTTGACCCAGCCATCCCATTACTGGGTATATACCCAAAGGACTATAAATCATGCTGCTATAAAGACACATGCACATGTATGTTTCTTGCGGCACTATTCACAATAGCAAAGTCTTGGAACCAACCCAAATGTCCAACAATGATAGACTGGATTAAGAAAATGTGCAACATATACACCATGGAATACTATGCAGCCATAAAAAAGGATGAGTTCATGTCCTTTGTAGGGACATGGATGAAATTGGAAATCATCTTTCTCAGTAATCTATCGCAAGAACAAAAAACCAAACACCGCATATTTTCACTCATAGGTGGGAATTGAACAATGAGATCACATGGACACAGGAAGGGGAACATCACACTCTGGGGACTGTTGTGGGGTGGGGGGAGGGGGGAGGGATAGCTTTGGGAGATATACCTAATGCTAGATGACGAGTTAGTGGGTGCAGCACACCAGCATGGCACATGTATACATATGTAACTAACCTGCACAATGTGCACATGTACCCTAAAACTTAAAGTATAATAATAGAAAAAAAAAAGAAATTTACTTGACCCATTAAAAAAAAAAAAAAGAAAACAACTGGGATTTTTGAGGGAAAAAATGCAAATTGCTGGATAGCAATGAATGCAGATTCACACTGTTCTCCACATCTCCTTACAGATAAGCTTACATTTAGTGAGAACTTACTGACTGCTGGGCAAGGTGCTCTGTGAGGATCCAACTGATCCTCAAGAACATTTGTAAAAGAATATAAGTAAATTATTATTCTAGGTTCTTACAAATTTTGGTTCCAATGTTCTATAGTTGTCTCATGCACACCTCAATGTACAGTGATTACATCTTGTAGAAAGCAATTTGTCTTTAGTTTACACATTCATAATTTCAATTATTAAAAAACTGAAACTCTCTTTACATAGTTGTACTTTATTTAATATATTTAATATATTTATATATTTAATTTTATATATTTAGTTATGGAATTGCAATAACTATTACTGGCATAAATAGGATTGGAAATGAAAATGCTGTTGGAAGTATGCAACTCAATTGGCATTCAACATCGCTGAGGACATCGGTCTATATGTTTTAAAGGGGAAATGAAGAATCTCCAATCTCTTCCCAGCTATAGGCTGTACAACTTTCTAGTTCTTTGTATATTTATTCTTAGAATATCTCTGAATGAAAGAATGCGTATAAATGCAAAGTAGACAAAAGGCAATGTCAAAATTACAGGCTGCTGGGTGTGATGACACATAATCTAAGTGTTGTGATTACGAATAACACGTGCTCATTAAAAATTATATATATATGTGAATATTCTAATGTGTTAATCTTTAAATATTTTGAGCAATTGTTATGTGTTTTTATACTTTTCTAAGAGTTTTCTACTGAAGCATCAAAAACATGTTGCAAATGTGTTAAGGGCCAAAATATATAACCAAATAAATTATGTTTCTTCATTCTAACATAATATTCTTAATGGTAAAAATGCTTAGGAGCCTACTCCAGAGCAATCTTTTATGTCATATGCTACATTAAAATGACATAATTAAAATATATTTCAACTGAGGTATATATTTTTGATTTGATAAAATAATTTGAAAGATGTCAACTCAAAACACATAATGCCAATTATTTTAGTAAAATAAAACAGAGGCAGTTTTTTTCTAATAAGAATATGCCTGGCCTGAAGTCACACCTTCTTGTGCATCTAACAGTATTCTCATTTTATCATATTTTTAAAATCCACACCTCATATTTTCTGTTACCTTATACGGATGGTGCTAATGACACACGTAGCAAACCTTCTATTTAGCTCTGTAGTTGAATGGATTTGTTTAATTTCAGCTGTCATATAATGTGAAAAAAAATTCTAGTAACCCTATGAGTTAAAATATGTTAGAACCATGAAAGCAAATGTTTCACAAACAGCAATAATTTATTGATCACATTCTCTGCCAGCATAAAATTAAAAGTGCAGAATATGTCCATTTGGGAAGGCTGATGACTTACTTTTCTGAATGACTTAAAAGAAACTTTGAACAAGTTTCTTTTTAAAGCAGATAAAATGAATTAAAGGTTAGGAATGTTGTTTCTTCCTTACATGTCACAAGGAATAATTTACTATGGTTCACAGAGTAGTTTCTCAGTGACTTAAATTACAAAAGAAATAATCTCTAAGTTTAATAATTAAAACAATAAAAGGATAAATAAAATATTCTCACTTGCCCTTCTGTGCCAGTCCTACACCCTTAATTATCTAGTATAAATGACTTCCTGTGTATCTTTTTTTGGTGCTATCTCCTGTGCATTTATTAACCTGTGCAGACACATGGGTTGTTTTCAATTGAGCTCTCAAAAAAACAGACTCTGAGACAGGCTGTTGCGTGTGGAGTCTTTGCAGTGAGCACTTCAGAATACACCTCTAAGATACCCACTTAAGGAAGTGAGGAAGGCAGCACTGGACAGAAGGACAAGCTGATCTTGGATGAAGTTGCAACTGATGCTTTGGTCAAACTTACAGATAAACTCTACAGGCAATGGTGCTAGGATTTTTTATCCCCACATCAGTCACTTATTGGCCAATCTTTGGAAGTAGTTCCCAGAAAAGTATAAAACTCAGAGCCATCATTAGTTGATAATCTGAGCAACTGCGGAATGGCCCTGAAGAAGGAATCTGAGTGGAGGACTCCACAATATCCTCCATGTCGACATATGCAGTTAAGATTTCCACTGATTTAATAAAAAATAAAATCACATATGCATGACTTTAGTTATTTGCATTTTTATTTAACTATGTAATGTACACATCCTTCTAAGTGAAAGTATATAGTTCTGTCTCATTCATTTTAGTGGTTACCTAATAATCATAATATACATTTAATTTGTTTTTGTTTTCTTTGTTGCTAATGCAAACAATGCTACAGTATCTTTCCATGTATGTTTTTCTGAATTTATACTTTATTAAGAATTTCATTTTACCCAATATGGATTTAAAAACTTTAATGAATGTAAAATTAACAATTTTGTTTACTAATTAATTAAATTAATAATATTAATTGCTAGGTAATTAATAATTCCAATAATTGTTTTATCATACAAATAATTTAATTAACTTGTTAAATAAATTTCCAGAAGTTCAACTGCTGAATCAAGCCCACATGTTTGTTTAAATAACCCATAGATTATTTTGCTAAATTGATATAGTACATACACTACCACAAAGTTTATAGAAATATCTGTTTAATCTGAATGTTTTCAACATAAATATATATATATATATTTTGCCAATAAGGACCAGAAAATGTTATCTGTTATTTTAATTTGTATTTTCTTGACCTTTGGCACATTTGTATATTTTTTAATGTGTTTGTCATCTATTTGCTTTGCCTACTTTTCCTTTTCCTCTTTTTTTGGTGGCAGATTTTGTTTATCTTGTTTTCATTAATATATCCTATGTGTTTTAATATTTTCACCTAATGAATTGCTTAAATGATTTTGCTTTTGTATCTTTTAGATACAGAAGATCTATGTTTGTGTCTTTTATCTTAGTTAAGAAATCCTCTCACTGCAAGGTCCACAAATATTCTGCTATAATTCTTCTAAAATCATTCTAATTTTATTCTTGTATTTATTATATATATAAAATAAATATATATATATTTAGATGTCTTGATCATATTTAGGAAGTGAAAAACAAATTTCAGAAAAATATGTATAGCATAATCATATTTTGGAAAACAAAATAAATAATTTTAAAAACCCTAACATAGTTATGTGTACAGAAGCAGATAAGTCTCTTCTAGTAAAAGTAAAGTCTGCAATAGCAAGTGCATCAAACTGCAGATGACAGCGACTACCTCTGGCGGATGGAGTTGGACCAAGGAAAGGGGAAGAATTTCATTCTTTATGCCTTTTGAGAAACCGAAAAAGTAATGATAGAATAGTGGATAATTTTTATATTCTATTTTGGGCTTTACTTTTTTGGTTAAGTTTCTATATATATATATATATATATATATATATATATATATATATATACACACACATACACATACACATATACACATATATACACACATATATATACACACACATTAATGTGTGTGTATATATATACATTTTATATATATACACATTAATTATATTTTAATTATGTTTCATTACCAGAAAATAAAATTTAAGACTTTGAGGAATCTATCACTAAGTGGAATAGTTTTGAAAATTTCTTTAAATTGAAGATGAATTATTTCTTACATTTATAGATTGTTAAAGCCTTGCCTAGGCCTTATAAAACATTCCTCATAATTATTCATCCCCTTGGGGAAGTGAGACTAGAGCAAGCTGCAAGAGGATTGATTAATGATCAGTCCTATCTGAGACTCAGTTTGCAGAAAAGGTAGGTCCTGGCAACAAATGTTTTCATTCCTGAGTCAGGTTCTCCCTTTAGGACTTCCTGCCTACATTTTTATAGTCTATCTAAAATTTTTTCAGTTTATGGTTTGAGGTAGGGATTTCTTTTTTTCAACGTAAGTTTATATATAATTTATATACAGTAAAATGTTAAGTTTAACAAATTTATGCAGTCATAACTTTCATCAAAATAAAAATACAGAATATTTTCACCACTTCTAAAAGCTCCTTCATGATCCCTTGTGTTTAATACCTTCCTTACACTCCTAGCCCCTGGCAACAACTGATCTGTCTCCTCTATAGTTTTGCATTTCCCAGGAAGTCATACGAATGGAAAAATATAGTATGTTGCCTCTTAAGTCTGGCTTCTTTCACTTAGCATAATTCTTTTGAGACTGATCCATATTGCTGTGTGTATATCAGTAATTTGTTCGTTTGAATTGCTGAATAGTATTCCATTGTACAGATACACTACA
The DNA here is from genome assembly GCF_000001405.40 of Homo sapiens. Taxonomy (NCBI): domain Eukaryota; kingdom Metazoa; phylum Chordata; class Mammalia; order Primates; family Hominidae; genus Homo; species Homo sapiens. The sequence goes on from NC_000015.10 coordinate 37,437,535, forward strand.
ATCTGCTTAACCATTTTCAGTTGAAGGACACTTGAGTTGTTTCCAGTTCCTGGCAATTATGAAAATAATACATTGTTATAAACATTTACATACAAAGCTTTGTATGGATGTATGTTTTCATTCTCTTGGGTAAATATCTAGGAGTAGATTTTTTTTTCATGGATAGTCCGGTATCCATTGATGGATAATTTTTTTCACTACTGGTTGGAATATTGTTTTAATAAAATACTAACTACCCCTCTTATTATTCTTTTATAAGGTTTTCTTGGCAAATCTTACACATTTTTCTTCCATTTTAACTTTTGTGCAATTTAACTGTGTTTCAAAAAGCAAAGTAACAAACAAATCCTGCCCTGCCCTAATTTTGATGTTAATACATAAACATATGTAATATATATATTAATTCAAGAAAGATCTGTATTATTATGATATAAAAGTCTTCCCATCTAAGAGCATATCATGTCTCTCCATTCATTCAAGTTTTATATATATATATATATTTTTTAAGATGGAGTCTTGCTCTGTCGCCCAGGCTGGAGTGCAGTGGCATGATCTCTGCCCATTGCAACCTCCGCCTCCCAGGTTCAAGCCATTCTTCTGCCTCAGCTTCCTGACTAGCTGGGATTACAGGTGCCCATCACCACACCCAGCTAATTTTTGTATTTTTTTTTTTTTTTACTGATCATTTAAAACTTTCTTCCCAATTTCTTTCCCCCCAAGACGGAGTATTGCTCCGTCACCCAGGCTGGAATGCAATGGCATGATCTCGGCTTACTGCAACCTCTGCCTCCCGAGTTCAAGCGAGTCTCATGCCTCAGCATCCTGAGTAGCTGGGACTACAGGTGTCCACCACCACACCCAGCTAATTTTTGTATTTTTAGTAGAGGTGGAGTTTAACCATCTTGGCCAGGCTGGTCTTGAACTCCTGACTTTGTGATCTACCCACCTTGGCCTCCCAAAATGCTGGGATTACAGGCGTGAGCCACCGCACCCAGCCTCAAGTTTTATATTTCTAATTAAATTATATAATTGTTTTTTCTGAGAGGTTATGTACTATTGTTAAATTTATTCTTAGGTACTTCATGTACTTTTTGTTGTTATAATCAATTAGATATTTTTCTATTTTAATTTCTAACTGGTACATATTCAATTAATTTATTCAACAGAAACTTACTGAACACATACTTGTTATCTGGAACAGTTTTAGGTACTATCAATTAAACAGCAAATAACATCAATAAATTCCTTGTACTTGTACAGGTTATATTCAAATGGTGAGAGGCAGGATACACACACACACACAGACACACACACACATATCAGGTGGTCATAAGTGCTATGCCAATAATTTATTTTAAATTGACTTCCATGTTAGGTTACCTAAGGAAAACTACATAACTATATAATAGAATCTAATTCCTGAGTCTTGAAGCACTCAGACTTTGGGAGACAAAGAAAAATAGGCCTGTGCAGTAGACAAATAAAAAGTGACCAGTGAGGCAAGAAGGAAATTGTCATGTCTGATATCTTTAAAGCAAAATGAAGAGTGTTTTTGAGAAAAAAGGGGTGGTCAACTTTGTCTAATGCTGTTGAGAAATCAAATAAGATGAGAATATAAAATTGAACATTGAATATATATATATATATATGTCATTGCAAAAACAATAGATAAAATACTCGTTTAGCCAGGCATTCTAGCACAATATATATAATGACTCATTTAAACCTCACCATAACATGAGTTAGACAGTGGTGTTTCCTCATTTGGGAGGCCTGAAGCAGAGAAAGTTCAAGTGTTTAGGATTTCTGAAAAGCTCCTCAATGATAGGCACACAACTAAACTTTAATTATTTCAAAGAATTTTAGCTGATTCTCTAAAGTTTTCTAAAATATAATGATATAATCTGAGAATAGTGGTAATGTCTTTGCTTTTGTAGTGCTTCTGTACTGTGCATATCATTTTGCATTTGATAGAACCTCAAAAACAATGTTGGTAGCAACTATAAACATCCCTGTCTTATTTTTGTTTGAGACAGCGTCTCGCTCTGGCGCCCAGGCTGGAGTGCAGTGGCGCGATCTGGGCTCACTGCAAGCTCCAACTCCCGGGTTCACGCCATTCTCCTGCCTCAGCCTCCCGAGTAGCTGCGACTACAGGCGCCCACCACCACGCCCAGCTAATTTTTTGTATTTTTAGTAGAGACGGGGTTTCACTGTGTTAGCCAGGATGCTCTCGATCTCCTGACCTCGTGATCCACCCGCCTCAGCCTCCCAAAGTGCTGGGATTACAGCTGTGAGCCAACGCGCCCAGCGCATCCCTGTCTTATTATTAAAGATATAAGAAAGGCTTTTAACATTTCTGTATTTGACTTGCTGCTTGTTTTGGCTTTTGGTAAATACTAATTAATGTACATAGAAACGTTTCTTCAAATTCTTAACTATAGGCTTTAAAAATCAGTTAGAGCAAATGGAATTATGTCAAACATTTTGTCTGCATCTATTAATATAATCTTTTTCTCCTTTTAAATGACTCACGTTGATAGACTTTCTACTATTAAACCATTCTTGCATTTCCAGACTAAATCTGATTGGTAGCAAATGATTATTTAAAGTTAAATTATTGTATTTGTTTTGTTAATAGTTAAACATTTTGCTTTTAGATGCTGGATCTGGCTTAGTTACTTTGTAATCATATTAATATTTCTACAGAAAAGTGTTTGAACTGGACTTAGGAAGTCAGGTTTTTCTACCCAATCAATTTTTGAAAAAAAACTTTTGGTTTTAGATGTAAGAACTGTGGGAGATCCTGTATTTGTATAAGAATTTTATGCTTCTTAAGAGTTCTATCTGCATCTGATCTTATCACTTTTTCAATGGTAAAATGTTAACATCTTCTATAATTATTGGTATGCTCAAAATTTCTATTGTTGGATCAATATTTAACATTTTTATTTTGCAGGGAATGTATCCATTTTCCTCTTTTTCCATTTATTGCTTTGGTGTAGAGATGAGAAATCAATCAAGCATTGGAGTTTGGAACGTATCTAGGGTCTTGGATGAGAAAAACATCAGTAAAGGAATAAAAGAAGAAATAGACAAAAAGCTGCAAGAAAAAGTTTGTTAGAGTAGGATTACATGAGTTAAAGAAAATTTCAGATGAATTAACCTTGCTCTAGGTCCCAATTTACATAAATATTTGCACCCATTTTATCTGGACTTTAAGTTTTAGAATTGGGCTGTCCGTATTACTGGTGTCTTCTAGATAGTATCTCCTATGAAGGGAGAGGCTCCTAATACCAAATTAATCTTACCGGTGTCCTTGAATCTGCAGTCACTTAAAATCAGTATATACTCCTAAAGAGATACTGTGAAAAAGGACCTAGGGAGACTTCAAGAGTGACTTGGGATAATCTCTGATTTAGGAGAAATCAAACTTTACAGCGCTTCTTCTATTTTTTTCCCCCGAGACAGGTTCTCATTCTGTCACCCAGGTGAAATCATGGTTCACTGCAGCCTGGGTTCGGTTGATCCTCCCATGTTCCTGTGTTGCTGGGACCACAGGCATGTGGACCATGCTTGGCTCATTTGTTTTTATTTTTGTAGAGATGGGTCTCAATATGTTTCCCAGACTGGTCATGAACTCCTGGGATCAAGCAGTCCTCTGGCCTTGGCTTCCCAAAGTGCTGGGATTACAGGTGGGAACCACTATGCCTGGCCTATTTTGGTTTTCTTTATGCCTCCATCGATCCTCTTGAGGCAACACTCTTCACGGCACTGAATCCAGAATCAGCGTATTCAGATGCAATCTGTCCACTACATTATTGATATTTCACTTTCAAGATTAAGATGGAAAAATTTTGAGTTTTCAAGTCTTCCTTAAGAATAACAATCTTGAGAAATTCAGTCAATAATGTTCAGAGACCCTTGGGAACTATAAAGCAGAATTAACTACAGTTGAAATTTGTAATAGTTTCCTTCACATTAATTTAATATTAAATTCATATTTTTATTTTTTTCAGACCAAAGTTACTTACTGAGAGAAATCAATTACAGGAAGAAAAACATCTAATAACTTAAATCCCCCAGTGATCAACTAGTTTATGTATTGTTTTGGTTAATAATCCTGAGGCTTTCAGATTTAGAATTTATCAGGAAGGATTAAAAGATGTTGCATGTTGTAATCTTCTTTATGAGAGTTGTATTTGGACTTACATGTTTCTACCAGTTCTTGGAAGTCACTGTACAGTATTTCAGACAAAATATATTTCTACAACCCTTTGTTTAATGTTCCCATAGTCATTTAAATATCTATTTTTTTAAATTTTAAGTTCTGGGATACATGTGCTGAACATGCAGGTTTGTTACATAGTTATACGTGTACCATCATGGTTTGCTGCACCTATCAACCTGTCATCTAGGTTTTAAGCCCCACATGCATTGGGGAAAGGGGAGGGAGAGCATTAGGACAAATATCTAATTTGTTTTAATTTACTCTTGATTTGAAGAGCTTCTCCTTCCAAAAACCCATTTTAGAGTTTGAATTGTTTTAGCTGTTAATTTTTCTTTTCTTGCTGACCATGGACTAGACAAATAAATATTGACTTTCAGTAGTTTACTTAAACTTTTGGTTCCAGAAAAACAAAGGGGTCTTTGTAGTTGAAATAAAGACATGTTTATATTTCATCCTATTAATCTGTCTATCAAAATAGATCCACCATACAGATATTTCTAGGCAAAAAGCATCAGTTAGCGGTATTTACCACTTTATTCAAAGGCTTCACAAAAGGAGCATTTTTCAATCAAAAATTGCTCTTTTCCTTGGCAATCATATCCAGCCAAGGTTTAAAGACTGTTAGAAGATCACACAGTGATCTTTAATTTGTAATCAACTATTAATATATAGTTTTTAAACAAGTCTGAATTAGACAAAATGCAAGGTTGGTAGAAGAAAAAAATCTGTTAAGGTTGAGTCCTTGTTCATATCTTATTTTCAGGCTGTCTCACTTATCATTCTCCCATATAGCATTATTCTTTTTGGTACTGCCTGACCGAGATTCCTGATTTTATGAAACATGGAAACACTCCATTTTGTGGCAAAATTTCTGTTTTTTGTTAGTAGATCATTGAAATTACATTTTGGATAACAGATCATCAGAAAGAGGCAAGAAAGAAAATCCAGAATAAATGAAAGAAGTACTGGGAAACAGCACTGGGAAACATGATTTGGGGAAAAACAGAGAATTTTCAGTGTGAAAAGTGAAATGTCCTTTTTGGAGGCATCTGTAAATCCTATACTTCATTATAGAATAATCCCCTTAGCATACTTCAGAATTTTTTTTAATTCATTTTTAATAATTTATTTTTTTCCAGGTATTGGGTAAGTTTAATTTAGAAGGAGCTTAGGATACTTGGACAGCCTCAAAATCATGGCTATAAAGTTCTTTTTCTCAAGAAGAGCTCTCTTTTTTGGCTTAAGTTCTCTTGTTGCATTTCCTAATCGTCTCAATTGGAACTGATCCTGTCGATACTCTCTTAGGAACATTTTTAAAACAACTCACCTGCCTTTGGTATGGGTTTCTATATAATCTAGGGACTTATATACATATGTTACCTCTCCTACCCCCACTGACCAGGTACCAAGCAACTTGGGGGTCAGTCCTGTTTCACATCCATTTTGAAAAAAGGCAGCAGGTAATAATTAAATTAGTAAATAAATATGCCTATGGTTACTGACTAGATCTTGCTCATCTTTGTATGACTTGCAGCACCTATGGAAGCCACAAATAATGCTTAACAGAGATAGTCTTACTGTGCTTTAATCCCATTCCCAACCATCCTTCATATTGATTGATACCCAAGTGACTGTTCTGATATACAAATCCTTTACTATTATTCCCTCACTTAAAATTCTCTTGATATAGATCTGCCTCGGTCTCTGTCTCCTATCCTCAGCTACCACTGCACTGCATGCTCTTCACACCATATAGATATATAAAACTTAGTCTGAGTTCCTCATATGCTCTCTCAGGCTCTTTCACTACTCTGAGCCATCTTGCATGCTGTTCCCTTAGCATAGACTATCTTTTTTCTTCTAAGTCCTTTGTGTCCTTTAAAACTCATTTAGTTTATTAGAAATTTTTTCTAGATGCCCCACTTTACCTATTGACTTTAGTTTCCAGGTATAGTCTTCCCCTAGAATATCTTTCGTATGTATCTTTGGCCAAGATTTAAAAATGCAGTATTATAATTGTTGGTTTACTTGACTAATTTCTCCCAGGAGAATATAGAACTTCTGAAGATAGTATGTAGTCTAGTGCTTAGCAGACAGAGTACAGCCACATAATAGATTCTTGATGAATAATATTGACTGAATAAATACTGCCTTTTGTACAAATCCAAGTCATTCTAAACCAGAGGATTGGAAAGAAAGTCATTGAATTCTCAGAATACATAAACATATGTGAAATGAGTATAAACATAATTATAGTCATCAAATTGTTTTTAGTGTGATAGGAGCTTTGGGAAAGTAATGTTATATTTTTTAAAGAAGCGTGAATAGTACTATCAAAATCTTATAACTGCCAGTCATCTGTTTTAAGCCAATGGCTCTTAACAAGGGCTGTGCATCACTTTTAGTATTCCAAGATTAGGTATGGGCTGGCTCCTGGGCATATGTAATATCACAAAGTTTCCTACAATATTCTTATGTGTTCTCAGTGAAAAAAAAATGTATGGAAGTTTATCAGATTTTTGAATAAATCACTTTAGTCAAAAGCAATCAGCATGCCAATGTCAGTTTCTTTTTTCCACTCCTAAAATTATTCATCTGTCCCTGAAAATATTTGCATTGCTGTTGACACATAGATATTAAAATATTCTTGATCCCAGTGTTCAAACCAGTGCCTGCCTTAATATCCAGAGAGTTTGCCATTATTATTATTATTTAGATTTGGATAAATTTAAGGAGTTCAAGAGCAGTTATTTTACATTACATAGTGGATAAGTCTGGGCTTTTAGTGTAACCATCACCTGAGTAATGTACACCGTACCCATTAAGTAATTTCTTATCCTTTATCTCCGTCCCATTCTCCCACCCTTCTGAGCCTCCAATGTCTATTACTCCACACTGTATGGTAGTGTGTACCCATTATTTAGTTCCCACTTATAGGTGAGAACATGTGGTATTTTACTCTCTGTTTCTGAGTTATTCCACTTAAGATAATGGCCTATAGTTCCATCCATGTTACTGCAAAAACACATGATTTTACTCATTTTTATGGCTGTATAATATTTCTCTCTATATATATTCTCATATTTCCTTTATCCAATCATCTGTTGATGGGCACTCAGATTGATTCCATATCTTTTCTTTGCTATTGTGAATAGTGCTGTGATAAACATATGAGTGTGCATATCTTTTTGATATAATGATATAACCTATAGTGGGATTTTTGGATCTAATGGTAGTTCTATTTTTAGTTTTTAAAAAATATCCATACTTTTTTACATAGAAGTTGTACTAATTTACATTCCCAGTGACAGTATATAAGTGTACCACTTTCTCTGCATCCTTGCCAACATCTGTTAATTTTCATCTTTTTAACAATAGCTATGATGACTGGTATAATATCTCATTGTGGTTTTGACTTGCATTTCTGTGATGATTAATGATGTTGAACATTTTTTTCATACGCTTCTTGGCCATTTAGTATGTCTTCTTTTGAAAAATATCTGTTTATATCCTTTACCCACTTTTTAGTGGGGCTATTTGTTTTTTGTTATTATTGTTGAGTTGTTTGAATATCTTGCAAATTTTGGATATTTGTCCTCTGTCAGGTGCATAGTTTGCAAATATCTTCTCCCATTCTGCAGGATGTCTGTTCATTCTGTTGATTATTTCTTTTGCTGTGCAGAAGCTTTTTAGTTTAAATAAATCCCAGTTTTCCATGTTCGATTTTGTTGCTTGTGCTTTTGAAGTCTTAGTTATGAATTGTTTGCCTAGAACAATGTCCAGAAGAGTTTTCCATAGGTTTTCTTCTAGTATTTTTATAGTTTCAGAGCATACATTTAAGTCTGTAATTCATCTTGAGTTGATTTTTGTGTATGATGAAAGAGAGGATTCCAGTTTTATTCTGCTGCATATGGCAATCAAATTTCCCAGCACCATTTATTAAATAGGGTGTATGTTTCCCCAGTGTATGTTTTTGTTGACTGCATCAAAGATCAGTTTGCTGTAGATACGTAGCTTTATTTCTGGCTTCTCTATTCTGTTCCATTGATCTATGTGTCTATTTTGATGTCAGTACCATGCAGTACTCTACCCTTGTAGCATAATTTGAGGCTAGGTAATGTGATACCTCTACCTTTGTTCTTTTTGCTTAGGGTTGCTTTGGCTATTCAGGCTTTTCATTATATATGAATTTTGGGAATTTTTTTTTCTAATTCTGTGAAAATATGACATATATTCACTTTATTTATTCTTCCTTCATTAACAGAGAACCCCAGCAGAGTACACTAAGTACTCGGGCAGGCATAATAGCTCAGATTGAAAAAAGGGATGGACATTTAGTGCCTGCTATTCCTAAGAAAAATATGAAAATAGTCAGTGTTATATAGCATAATTTGCTGGGAGGAAACAAAGCCTTCTTGGTACACAGCAATAAAGACCCTTTAAAAATAAAACCTAAATTTTGCATTTGACACAAATTGCAAGTAAAGTCCTTGAAACAATTTTATAGGCATTTCCTCTAGCAAGAATACTCCTACTTCATCTCTTTCTCCAGCTAACTTTTGCTCACATTTCATGTCTTGGTTTCAAATAGACTTCTTTTAGAAAATCTGGCCAAGTGCAGGTGGCTCACACCTGTAATCTTAGTACTTTGGGAGGCTGAGGCTGGTGGATTGCTTGAGCCCAGGAGTTTGAGACAGGCCCAGGCAACATGGCTAAACCCTGACTCTAAAAAATTACAAAAAATTAGCCGGTGTGGTGGTATGCACCCGTAGCCCCCCCAACTCAGAAGGTTGAGATGGGAGAATCACCTGAGCCTAGGGACTGAGGCTGCAGTGTGCTGAGATCACCCCAGTACACTCCAGCCTGGACAACCAGAGTGAGACCCTGTCTCAAATAATGAAAAAAAAAAAAAAAAAAAAGAAAATCTTTTCTGATTCCCCAAGGCATTTAAATGGCCTCAGTTCATATGAATTCTCATGCTAACCCTGTACATGGCTTAATGCAGCACAGACCCAAAGGAACGTAGACCTAGTAGAAAACAAGATTCTTAGCAGGAGGGATTGGACCTTGCAGCCCCAGTTCATAGGACAGCATCTGAACATTTGCTCAACACATATGTGTTCAAATAAATACATAAGATAATGAATACATATGATCACACCATTACAGAGACAATCATTTTGTTATGGACCAGTAGTGAGGTAAATTAGAAGTTTACATCTGGACATGATTATGTATTATTTGGAGATTATAATATGTGTGGCCATTTAAGGTATTATTTTATGTAATAGAGAGTGGATTTCTCACTCCAAAGTATGGTTGTAGTCATTCACAACTAATCCTACAGTCATCTCCCAAAAAGTCTGATGTTTAGAAATACCTTCTGGTATTTTTATAGAAGGATGTCTGAACTTAGTGTAACCTCCCTCACATCCACCCCTCCTCAATGATTCTAGCTCAGATTTCAAAATTCACAGGATTCGAACTCAGAGAATCAGTACCATTTACAGAATATGCGTATAGTCAGGTTTATAGCTAATTGTTGTCCAGGTTGTTACATGTTACAACAGCCTCAATCTAGTAAAATATCTGACCTAATAAAACAAAACAACAGGAAAACCCAGCTTCCCTCATTGGAAGTTATAAGAAACCAAAAAGATTGTAAACTTTTCAGGAAGAGCCTTGAATATTCCCAGGAAAAGCTAACTTGCACTAGTACACTCAAATGGCAGAGAATGAAGGGTAACCCAAAATATTTCAGAAAATAACTGCAAAGTAGACCTTGTTTGGAAGAAAGTTTTCTGTCACCAGAGAATGAAAATTAGTCTGAATCATAGGGTGATAGCAGAGGCACATTCTCAAGACTTTTTGCCTTAAGGTAGTGGCTGTGAGCACAAGCCAAAGCCTTGAAAAACTAGAACCCAATTTAAACTTGAATTTTTCCTGGCTTTTATTAGACCATGGGCATGTCCAAAGGCAGTCCCATTTCTTTGACTTAGCAATAATGGGGATCTTCATAGGTTTTTTTTTTTTATTCATAAGAATCTCTCCCCACAACCTCCCTGTTTCTCTCTCTCATCACCAGCTGCTGGTAGAGCTGATTTCTTCATTTGACCCTCTTCATCAGTCTCTCTCTACCTGCAACAAGACGTAGGACTAAAAATAATGCCCTACTTAGTCTGATTCTATGCATAACTCCAGCATGCTAGGACTCATGTCTTCAGATTGTTCCCCTTGACTGGTAAGATCTGCTATCCCCTGACTGCCTCTCTTTGAACCTCTCCAGAAAACAGCCCATTTTGTCAAGCTGGTTGGCCCATGAATAAAGTACTTAGGAATTGTTTAGCTGTTGATTGCTCATGTAAAAATTATAAATAATATTTAGATTGTCACGCTGTTAATATTAAAATTGAAAAATAAGATGTCACCATCAAGAGCAGATGTTTGGGCACATCTTTTTAGTGCATCTGTTTATTAATGAGGGGTAAGCGGGAGCTTTGTGAACACGCGGCTCTATTTATTTAAAAAAAATTCCACTGCCTTTCAATTTACATCATAACAAAAGTGTGTATAATGTGGCAGAACTGTTTTATGTGATTAAAAACTGTTTATTCTGGATTTGTAATTAATTTAATTGTAACATCCAGAAGACTGCAATTTTGAAAAACTTTCACTTCTGATTGCCTATTATTCACATGACAACACTGAAATAAAGTGGCACTATGATAAATGGAAACATAAGCAGTTGTCCTGATTTAATAACAGTTTGAAAGAAAAATGTATAAAATTTTTATATAAATATATTATGTATATGATATTTACAAAGAAAATTCTGCTTTCTCTTTAACTTTGGATCAGAGCTAGAAAGTGCACAATTTAATAAACATCTTACAAATGCACTTTCATTATCTTAACTTAGCCTAAGATATTTCATATCTTGATAAAAATAGAGAGAGGAAAAGAACTAATTCAATTGCTCCATCAAAGAATTTCCTTAAATCCAGGTCCCATTTGAGGTCAGCAATACACCTTCATTTGTTTGAACTATGGTTTCACTAAATTCAATCAAACTTTAAAAGGAAGTACTTAATTAGTTATGCTGCACTAACAAAGAAAAATTATTATACCATACTATTATATGTTATGGCAAAACCCTGACCCCATAAAAATGATTGGTGCCATTAAGAAAATTCACATATAAATTTGTCTCCAAAATTGAATTACATTGTGGAAAGTGTTAATAAAATGAACATAGAATAAGTTTGTGGTTTCCACCTCCATTTAACTGATTTTGTTTCAAATAATTTATAGCTAGTAAGTAGTTTTAAATTCAAAATATTGTAATTATAACATCTTTACCACCTGGAATACTTAAAAATTTCTATGGTGATGATCTGTTTGTGGATTAGACATGAAGAGATTTTGCCTAATCATTTTTACCAAATTCCCAAATTCAAATTTGAGTGTAATTGCTCCCAAATTATTAAAAATTTTGAAAATAGGGAAAAGTGAGAAAGAAGGAAAAAACACCCGCAGATAACTACTGTTCACTTTTAATGTTTCTTTCTATAATTTTGTATAAAATAGTTTTATTTTTCTTGCTCTCTAAAAGATACTTTTATTAGGCTTGTCTGAACATTTGTCATGGCTTGATCTTTGTCATATAAAAGCACCTTTGAGTTCTTGATATTCACATATTGGATCATAATTATAGAAGTTGGAAATTTCCTTCAAAACAAATGATGTACATACCATGTGTCTATTTTTTTTTAACTGATCATTTAAAACTTTCTTCCCCAATTTTTTTTTTTTTTCCCCAAGATGGAGTTTTGCTCTGTCACCCAGGCTGGAGTGCAATGGCACAATCTCGGCTTACTGCAACCTCTGCCTCCTGGATTCAAGCAATTCTTTTGCCTCAGCATACTGAGTAGCTGGGACTACAGGTGCCTGCCATCACACCCAGCTAATTTTTGTATTTTTAGTAATGACAAGGTTTCACCATATTGGCCAGGCTGGTCTTGAACTCGTGACCTTGTGATCTGCCCACCATGGCCTCCCAAAGTGCTAGGATTACAAGCATGAGCCACCACACCCAGCCTCTTCCCAAATTTAAAATTGGTAACAGCTTTGCAAATAAATTCCAACGACCAAGTAGCCATACCTTAGCTTATAGGACCTTCTACTATGCTTAAAGAATTCACAGGTCAAAAAAGTAGACTGTTTTTTTTTTTTTTTTTACCTAGCATATAAGATAGAAATATTTCTATGGCTTAGGTAGACTTTATATATGTAGGGTTAAATATAGTATTATATAGAAAGCTCATGAATTTAATATATACCATGTTCTGAAAATCAGAACAAGAAAACCTAATGGGTGAGGTAAACAATAAACCAATGTATGGTGAACTGCAGGGAGAGGGGGAGATTTTCAGAGAGCTTATATGACAAATATAAGTTTATTTATACTGCTTTTTTTAGGCATAATCTTTGATGAGACATTCCCCAACATTTCATACATGATCATGAATATTGATCTTTTCTTTTGTAATTGAAATCAATTGGCTCAAGTCTCATAAAAATATGAGTGAAGCTAATGTCTTGTAGCTTTTAGTCCAATAGTGGTTTCAAAATGTGTCTCATCAATTTTAATTTTGTGAAGTTTTTCTCATATCTAGGATTTAGTATTAGCATTTGCACGGTAGAGTTTCAAAGATGAAATAATACATTAAAATAATCAGGTAATTTTGTAATTCTGCTGCCCAAAAGTTGCAACAGACCAGGCACAGTGGCATATGACTGTAATCCCAAATCTTTGGGAGGCCAAGGTGGGAGGACCACTTGAGGTCAGGAGTTCTAGACCAGCCTGGACATCATAACAAGACCCCCATCTCTAAAAAAAATAATAGTCTGGTCAACTTATATGGCAGCACTTTCACTTGAATATATAAAAATATCTAAATGAAATTTTTGCTAACTTTTGGTATGTTACAATCATCCCCAAATAAGTAGGTTGGGTAAGGCACAATGGCTCATGCCTATAATTCCAGCACTTTGGGAGGCTGAAGTGGGAAGATCAGTTGAGGCCAGGAGTTTGAGACCAGCCTGGACAACATAAAGAGACCATGTGTCTGGGAAAAAAAAAAAAAAGGAAGAAAATTTACCTGGGCATAAAATAGGTATACATTTACATAGGCATTTAATAGATGCCTAATAAATAAAAATTATTCTAAAGTCCTCATGGATTATAACTTTTCTAAAAGTAAAAAGTGTTGCAAATAATTTACTTTTTATTTACCCTGGAAATAAAGGTCATGGATTAGTCTCTCAGAGTATTTTCTAAAATTCCTAGAGTGCTCTTTGGAATTGGAGAGAATTAAGCTTTTGAAAGGACTGCAAGGTCATCATCACTGCTCACTTTTCTGTTAAAATATGTAAACTGATATCTGCAACATCTAACCTTTACCAAAGTGTTCATCTTGCAGTAATTTGGACATGTAGCACTCCATACAGAGTCATTCATTGTCCAGTACGTTAGTGGATGATGTATATTTTGCAGTTAATGGAGTTGAATAGATTTTTACATTTCACAGCTCAGTGAATGTGTACTGCATTTTCTTCCTGGACTCTGTTGCTAGATATAGAATACAGTTTTATACATTGAAAATACATTTTTGAGAAGCTAGTAAAATCTGCTTAGAAATGATTAGAGTAGACTGAAAAGATATATTCAGAATAATATAATTATTTATGTTAACCCCTGGACCAAATTCCTTGGTATTTTTGAATCATTGAATTATTTCATAATTAGAAATAATAGTGTGTGAAATAGAGCCCATTGTTTTCAATCATGCTCGCTGTAAGGAATTACTGAGTCACTAAGAATAAATTCTTAAAACACTAGCATAACTAACAGGTCAAAGATACCAATAGGAAGCTATATAATACAAATTAAGTGAGTTGTTTGGCTGTGTCCCCACCTAAATCTCATCTTGTAGTTTCCATAATCCCCACGTTTCATGGGAGGGACTTGTTGGGAAGTCATTTGAATCATGAGGGTGGTTACCCCATGCTGTTCCTGTGATAGTGAATTCTTACAAGATCTGATGGTTTTATAAGACACTATTCCCCTTTTGCTTGGCACTTCTCTCTCCTGCTGCCATGTGAAGAAGGACGTGTTTGCTTCCCCTTCTGCCATGATTGTTAGTTTCCTGAGGCCTCCCCAGCCATGCTGAACCGTGAGTTACTTAAACCTCTTTCCCTTATTGTCTAGTCTTGGGCAGTTCTTTACAGCAGTGTGAGAATGGACTGATACAGTAAATTTTGGTACCAGGAGTGGGTGCTGCTCTAAGGATACCTGAAAATGTGGAAGCAACTTTGGAACTGGGTAACAGGCAGAGGTTGGAACAGTTTAGAGGGCTCAGAAAAAGACAGGAAGATGTGGGAAAGTGTGGAACTTCCTAGAGACTTGTTTAATGGCTTTGACCAAAATGCTAACAGTGATATGGACAATGAAGTTCAGGCTGAGGTAGTCTCAGATGAAGATGAAGAACTTGTTAGGAACTGGAGCAAAGGTGAATCTTACCATGCTTTAGCAAAGAGACTAGCAGCATTTTGACCCTGCTCTAGAAACTGGTGAAACTTTGAACTTGAGAGAGATGATTTAGAGTATCTGGTGGAAGAAATTTTTAAGCAGCAAAGCATTCAAGAGGTGACAGAGCTTAACAGTTTGGAAAATTTGTAACCTGATGATACAATAGAAAAGAATAACCCATTTTCTGAGTAGAAATTCAAGCCAGCAGCAGAAATTTACATAAATAATGAGGAACCAAATGTTAATTGCCAAAATAATGGGGAAAATGTCTCCAGGGCATGTCAGAGACCTTCATGGCAGCCCCTCCCATCACAGGCCCAGAGGCCTAGGAGGATAAAATGGTTTATTGGGCCAGGTCCAGAGCCTCACTGCTGTGTGCAGCCTCAGGATTTGGTGCCCTGCATCTTAGCCATGCCAGCTCCAGCCATGGCTAAAAGAGACCAAGGTACAGCTTGGGTCATTGCTTCAGAGGATGCAAACTCCAAACCTTGGCAGCTCCCACATGGTGTTAAGCCTGCGAGTGCACAAAAGTCAAGAATTGAGGTTTGGAAACCTCCACCTAGATTTCAGAGGATGTATGCAAACTCCTGGATGTCCAAGCAGAAAGAAGTTTGCTGCAGGGGTGAAGCCTTCATGGAGAACCTCTGCTAGGGCAGTGCAGAAGGGAAATGTGGAGTCAGAGCCGCCACACAGAGTCCCCAATGGGGCACTGGCAAGTGGAGCTGTGAGAAGAGGGTCACCATCCTCCAGACCCCAGAATGGTAGATGCACCAACAGCTTGCACCATATACCTGGAAAAGCCACAGATACTCAATCACAACTGTGGAAGCAGCCAGGGAAGGGGATTGTACCCTGCAAAGCCACAGGGGTGGAGCTGCCCAAGAATGCAGTGGGAGCTCATCCCTTGCATCAGCATGCCCTGGATGTAAGACATGGAGTCAAAGGAGTTCATTTTGGAACTTTTAGGTTTAATGACTGCCCTATTGGATTTTGGACTTGCATGAAGCCTGTAGCCCCTTTGTTTTAGCCAATTTCTCCCATTCTTACTCAATGCCTGTACCCCCATTGTATCTAGGAAGTAACTAACTTGCTCATAGGTGGAAGAAACTTGCCTTGTCTCAGGAGAGATTTTGGATTTGGACTTTTGGGCTAATGCTAGAATGAGGTAAGTCTTAGGGGACTGTTGGAAAGGCATTATTGTGTTTTGAAATGTGAGGACATGAGATTTGGGAGGGACCAGGGGCAGAATGATTTGATTTGGCTGTCTCCCTACCCAAATCACATCTTGAATTGTCATGGTTAACCTCATGCTGTTCTCATGATAGTGAGTTCTCATGAGATCCAATGGTCTTATAAGGAGATTTTTCCCCTTTGCTCAGCACTTCTCTCTCCTGCTGCCATGTGAAGAAGGATGTATTTGCCTCCCCTTCTGCCATGATTCTAAGTTTCCTGAGGATTCCCCAGCCATGTGGAACTGTGAGTCAATTAAACCTCTTTCCTTTATAAATTACCCAGTCTTGGGTAGTTCTTTATAGCAGTGTGAGAATGAACTAATACATTAAGCATGTGTTTTGTCCACCTTGATATGGTCACATTTTAAAAACCTCATAAATGCCATTTTTTTGTATTTAATAATTACATTTCTAAGACCAATTGTTTAAGAACTTTTGATCTTAATAATTTCACAGATTCAAAGGCCTCCAAAATAATCCTACACTAGCTTTACACACACAAGTGATTAAAAAAAGAAAACTTTGACATACAATAGTTTCATCTACACAAAAGAGGTAGAAAGGACATATTGCTATTACTCCACAGATGTGACCTCTAAGGCTGAGTATTCATGTGACTTATAATAGAAGATTACAGTACTTTAAGTGCTTGGAATTGGAATCACAATTGTATATTTGTTCTGGATCTGAAAGACTAGTACAACATTGTTGAAAATGACACTGGAAAATAAGTTCCAGGGATTGGCAACTGATGACTTCATATTCAGCCTCCCACCTGTTTTGTAAATAAAATTGTATCGAAAAACAGCCATGTCCATTTCTTTATGTATTGTCTATGACTGCTTTCATGCTACCGTAGCAGAGTGGAGTACCTGTGACAGGGAGCACATGGCCCAAAAGCTGAAAATATTTATTCTCTGTCCCTTTACAGAAAGAGCTTGCCAACCCTTTTTCTAAACCAAAGAGGTTGTGTATACTATGAAAGATAGAAGAGATAGAATCTGGAAACCATGAGAAAGCTCTGAGCATCAAACAAATTTATGTCAAAGTAGATGCATGATTGTTCACAACATCTTTCACTGAAGAGTAATTAACAGTACTATTGATCAGAGCAATAGAGGAAATATAGAATTAGAAAACAAACCCATAATCATGTTCTCTCTTTCAGATATTTAATTTTTTTTGAGTTTCTTATGATTGTAATGCATTCTGCTAGGCATTGATCTATGAATGACCCTCTTAACTAGGTATTTTAATGATCTTCCAAGTGCAAGTATTTGGTGGTGATAATGACGTGAGCAACCAAGTATTTATCAGGGCAATGGAGGAAGGCTACAGCGTGGATAATCAAAAACCTTAATCAATAAACATTAGTGTCTTTGCTTCCTTAGATAACCCCATTTTCTTTCTTTCTTATCAATCCAGAAAGTCTCTCAGTGAAAGGAAAGAATTAGATGCAGCTGCTTTGCAAAATGGCTGCTGTGCCTGTGTATCAGCATTTTAAGGAGCTATGTCCCAACCCTGAAAGTCTCAGGAGAGAGTAAGAAAATGTGACTTAATATGTTAGATACTTTCATAACTTTTCTTGACCAGATCTTACCTTTAAGACAGAACTGAGAGGAAGGTATGTAGCTGGGTGATTGGAAGAACAATTGATAATCCTGAAAATGCATTCACATTCATTCATTTTTTTTTTCCGAGCACCTACCCAGATCATGACACTTATTTGGCATTATGAATAAAATAGAAAAATGGATGCCTTTTAAGAATCACACAATCTAAGGGAAAGATGGACATATTCACAAATAACTGTATTATAATACAATAATCTCTCTTGCTGCTGGAATTTATGAATGGACCAAGCATGAAGGCAGAAGAAACAAATCACCAAAATTCATATGTGTAACTAACACTGTCTGGATTCAAGACACCATGTCCAAATGGCAGGATATAGAAATTATTGGCACAGTGTAGCCAGTGTGAGACAGAGCATTTTAGAAATACATTTAGCATAGTTCAGTGAAAAATGTTCAGTCAAGAGATTCAATTTTAATTAGTGAAACGGTAATATTAGAACCACTGAAATCAAAGAAGGACTCATGCATAATTGTTTTGGAACCCCAAATTAGAGTCTCTGGTTTCCTTCTCAGTTCTTCAATCCCTGAGTTTTGCATTAAGTTATATTCCCTTCATTGAGTTATATCAGATAAAATTTCTGTACCCTTCTTGATTGCAGCAGCTGAATCAGCAACTCAAGGAGCTGAGCTTTTGTGCCATCCCCCTATTACTGTAAAGCCACAGTAGTTAGTGCTATAGTCTTGAACTCAGACATGAATCTATTAATATGTAAAAAGTAATCTTTGTGCTCTTCATTAATACACATAATAAAATGTGCATAATATATAAGACTTTTTAAAATACTTATTATCTTAACTTTTCCCCTTTTAGGTTTGTATTAACTATCCTATCTTCAGATTTTCTGTAAAGTAATTAAGTTAGATGAGATGGCATTTAAAGCGCTTCTTACTTCCACAAATATATGCTTTTATATAATGTTCCTAAAGAAACAAGTCTCTGTTGAATTTAACTGTGACCTAACTGGCTGCTTCACTGGTCACTGTTTCCTATCCCAGAGAGAAAGTGACCCTGTTCATTAAAATGGGTACTTTGCTTTTATTAATTTATTTAATTTATGTGAATTTTATGTCCAATAATATTTGATAATAACTGTGACAGTTGATCAAGGAAGAGCTAATTTTTCAAACAACTTGGAAATTCTTCCACTCAAATTTCCTGAAATGCAGAGCTTTTCCTAGCCTTCCTTAATAGAGTATGTTAAAGTATTAAGGAAATAGTCTCATATGAAATGTGATTTCTTTAAGAGAAATATGATTTGACTGTCCCCTAATGATCATTAATTAATTTAGATCAATATCTTTTGATAGTGATATTAGAGTTAACTGTTGGACACAAAATATATGGTTAATCAATGGGGCTAAAAAATTATCTGAAATTTCATTTTATAGCAACAGAAAATCTCACAGTGTCTATCTTATGTACCCTTCAGTAAATCACTGACATCAGTGTTATAGCAAGTTTAGTCAGGAACTAAACATGTACAAAGTGCTGTGCAACTATCAATCAGTTTGCATGGAAACAATGCAGCAGCATTTACTTACACGTGGGTAAATTGAGGCAAAGGCTACCTGAGGAGAGGACTCTGGCTAGCCTTTAAACCAGCAGGGCTCAAATTATTATTTTATTTATTGAATCTAAATGAGCCTACATTAAAAAGTATAATGTATTGAAACACTTCACAAATTTAATTTTCCCCTCATCAACAAACAGAGCATTTACAAACTGAATAACTTGCATTTTTAAAAAGATGGAAATAAATTAGTGTAAATAAATGGATACAGCCAAGCTGCTAAAATGCACAGTATATGTTCACAATCTCTTAACAAAATGAATATTTTCAGTGTACCTTTTGTCTTTGACTGGGAAAAAGAGAAAGACAAGGAAATTAATATTTTTGTAATATAGATATCATCTTATATTTCATGCATGACTCATTTGAAAATGTAGATTAATTTGCAAACAATTTAGAAAGCTGAACTATTGAATTGGGTCCTCTAAGATTTAGGATTTGTCATCTTTTAAAGTTGACACCCAGCAAGAGCTTGTCAATTACAAAGAAGTGAAATGAAGTGAAAATAAGTCTCATCTTCATCTTCTTGTTATATGCTTGGTTGGTTTTAGAGAGACACCATTTACAAGCTGAAAATAATTATTCAGAAAGTTACGCTTCACTTTAAAACCAAATTTAAGCAAGAGAAAAGTGCTATTCTGCAATGGTTATTTTATTCAGAGGGTGGGGAGGTTTGGTGGAGAGTGGGAAATGCTACTTAGTCCCTTAAGGCTTACGGTTAGAACAGCTCTGGTATTTTTCCACTTCTTAGATTAGTGATAACAGAGATGACTTCAGGTTATTACTTTAAAAACAAACAACTCTATTTACCATACTACTCTATCACTGTTCAATAAAAGCGAGGGTTTAGGAGAACTAATTATAATGCTATTTACACATTTTATCAACATGTGAATTGAAATACCCATGAAAATTCTGCTCCTTCTCTGAGCTGACCTTTTAATTGCTTTTTATTCCATCGATAAATATAAGAAGCACAATGTTATAATACCTTGTTAGATTCAAACAAAAATGAATTATTTGTTGTAATAAAATTAATAGATAAATTCAGAAAAGCATACTTTAGTGAAACTTACACCATCTATCTCCTGGCATTGATCTCTTAATATCTAATGCTAATGGACAAGGTTACTTGCCCTGGGAAATGAGACAGTATTTGGTAGACGTAACAACCCAATACATTCATTCCCAGTTTGTGTTCAGCCCAGAAATGTTAAGTTGGGCTTTAAAGATCTGCCTCTGAGAATGACTGGTAAAGATTAATAGAACCAAAGCATTGCTTGAAGTTGAGCATGTTCTAATAGCATTTTCCTCCTTCCTGTACTCTTAGGACCACTTAATACCACACTCTTTTTCCTCCCTGAGGAGAGGAGAGAAGAAAGAAAAGCTAGAGGGAAAGCCAGAGGAGGTGTGTGATAAAATTTAAATCTTTCAGAACAAAGAATTGAGACATCATTCCTTCTCCACTGCCTCATCAAAAACCCCCAGGCCAACACTATTTCCATCATAATGAGAGGGCAAAGGTCCCAAGTGAATTGTTTGATACTTAAACACCTGCTCCTTCTTTTTAAAAAAATGACGTATAATGTTTGAAATCACTTTATAGACATGATTGGGCAAAACAAGCATTCTATCTCTCTAAATTCTATTCATTTTTCAAGGCCTTGCTGAAGTCTCCTCTATGAAAATGTCCCTTGTGACTGTGACCACAATGATAATTCGATGCCTTGTCTCAAAGCCTATGACCCTTGTTTATGGTACTTCGAGACTTTTTGTCCACTGCTCTGTAATAATGCTTAGCCTAAAAAACAATTATAAAAATGTAATAAAATAATATTAAAGAATTTGAATAACAGAGAAAGACATCATCCATAATTCAATGCCCTAAAAATAACCATAATTATACATTCTCCTAATTTTCATAATGCTACATTATATATTTGCAAAAATATTGTTCATATAGTTTTGTACAGTGAACTATTATTGAATACTAACTCATACAAACTTTTCCACATCACATCAGTCTATAAAAAATGTTGGCTAGTATTCCACTAAGTAGATATATCAAGATTACTTAACAATACACTATTGCAATGCCAATTAATTATTTACAGTATTGTTATTATAGCCTATGCTATTTCAAGTATCTGTGATGGGTTTTTAAATATTTACATTATTTTAAGGCAAATTCAAAGAAAAGTTACTGGCTTAAAAATATGAACATTAATAATACCATTGAAAGAATACAAGCTTGACAGCCATACACCTGGATACAAATTTTAACTCACCCATTGATATAGTCTTAAGCGTATAATTTAATCTTTTGTAGACTCAGTTTCTAGTTGGATAATACAATAATATCACGTACTATGTGGCCTTTAGGTAAGGATTAGGAATAATATGTTAAAACGTGGTGGTCGGGGATGGTGGCTCACGCCTGTAATCCCAGCACTTTGGGAGGCTAAGGCGGGCAGATCATGAGGTCAGGAGTTTGAGACCAGCCTGGCCAATTTGGTGAAACCCTGTCTCTACTAAAAATACAAAAATTAGCCAGGTGTAGTGGTCCACACCTGTAGTCCCAGCTACTCAGGAGACTGAGGCAGAAGAATCACTTGAACTCGGGAGACAGATGTTGCAGTGAGCTAAGACTGCACCACTGCACTCCAGCCTGGGCAACATAGTGAGATTCGTCTCCAAAACAAACAAACAAACAAACTTGGGCAAAGTAAAACTTAATAAATGGTGGTCATTATTATTTGTCTTTCCAAAAGTATTAAACAAATTTAAAATAACTTTAGCTGTGTATAATATCAGTTTTTTTCATAGCCTTGTTATATACAGATATCAAAGTGACAGAGATTTAAAAAATGCTATTATATTGTTTGGTATACATGCCTTTGATTGCTAGAATTATTCTATACTTGGTAAGTTCTCTTTTTAAATCACATGTTGATGACCTTTGCTTATTTTGGATTCAAAGCTTTTTTAAATTTGATCTTTGCAACTTACATATATAATATTTTTGTAATAATTATCTAGATATCTTTTTAGTATAACTATGTGTTTGGTATATAATATGTGTACATACACAAATATACTGTTTTGAGATCTAGGGCAATGTCATTTGCTTTTTTTTAATCATGTAAAATAACTTTCACAGCAACCTGCATATAATAGTTGCATAAAAATGTATTAAATATTAGATGATGTCACTCTCTTCTTTGAAGATTAAATGAAATCAGCTAGGTATAGCCAATGATTTTCTCCAAGGTTACAGAAATTTTCAAGAACCTGAGTTGTCACGCCAATTTCAGGTCACATGTTCCAACTCCTGCTAAATTCTAGATCTCATTGGTATATCCCCCACATGTTCATTCAACTTCTTCTACTTCACATAAACCGTTTTGGCGTTTTGCCAAAGTCACTTCTTTTTCCATTTAAGACATTCATGTTTGAAAGAGAGTTTGGTGAATTTTGGAAAATTTTTGAAAATTTTATATTGCAGTAACAATTTGCCATTGAGTATCAGAGTTCTCTGATGTAGCAAGACATCATGTTGCCATTATATCATTCTCTTGCGTGAGAAAGACATCTCTCCTGGAAGACTTCATTTCTCAATTCCTGTATTTTATTATTCAGAAAAGTAAGCTCAGGCTTACTTTCGCATATGAAATCTGAAGATGATCCATTAATATATACAGTAAGTACCTATTATATTTCATTAAATTTAAAATTCAATCAACTGTAAATTACACCATTATTTTATGTACTACTCAAAAGAAAAAAAATGCTGCTACATGAACTATGGTAACTCATTGACTGTAAGACATTTTCTAATTATAGAGGAATTAAAATGTAAAATAATGTGAAATTTAGAACTGGTGAAAGATGGCATGCGTAGTATTCCGGTTCTTACCCTTCTACATCAGGAGAAAACTGATTGTTTTTAAACATCCAATCTTCTATTTTTTCCAGCTCTACCAATTGTTTGTATGAGGAAGATAATGATACAGAAATTTATTTCATGTTGATTATAAAAAAAGAAAATGACCTAATCTTTCCATTCCTCTGCTGCTTTCTGACATATTTTACAACCATTCTTTCAGTGGTGAACCTTGAAATTACAATTGCATTTTTGACTTTATTAGAGTTAAAAAGAAGTAGAAATTTCCAATGTTAAGACCTTATAACACTTTAACATTTACTTCTACATGTTGTTATGGTTTCAATGAATTTCAACATTAGATGTATGTTTGAAATTCACACTTTATTTTGTATACATTGTTTTGTACAAAATTAATGCATTCAATTGTTTGTACTTTCTTTCTGAATTTCTGTGAATCCTTCTGGGATCATTTTCTTTCCACCTATAGATTCTCTTCACTCTTTCTTTCAATGTGTGAATGCTTCTGATAAATTCTTTCAGTTTTGTTTATCTGGTAAAGTATTTATTTTGCACTCTGATTTTAGTTTTATTTTATTTTTGACAATTGTATCAGTTCCTTCTCACACTGCTAATAAAGACATACCCAAGACTGAGTAACTTATAAAGGAAAGAGGTTTAATTGACTCATATTTCCACAGGGCTGGGGAAGCCTCATAATCATGGCAGAAGGCAAAGGAGAAGCAAGGGCATGTCTTACATGACATCAGGCAAGAGAGCATGTGCAGTGGAATGCACCTTCATAAAAGCATCAGATCTCATGAGACTTATTCACTATTAGGAGAATGGCATGGGAAAAACCCACTACCATAATACAATTACCTTCCACTGGGTCCCTCCCATGACATGTGGGGATTATTACACTTCAAGGTGAGATTTGGATGGGGACACAGAGCCAAATCATTTTGCCCCTGGCCCCTCCCAAATCTCATGTCCTCACATTTCAAAACCAATCCTGCCTTCCAACAGTCCCCCAAAGTCTTAACTAATTCCAGCATTAATCCAAAAGTCTAAGGCCAAATCTCATCTGAGACAAGGCAAGTCCCTTCCACCTATGAGCCTGTAAAATCAAAAGCAAGTTAGTTACTTCCTAGACACAATGCAGGCACAGGCATTTGGTAAATACACCTGTTCTAAACTGGAGAAATTGGCCCAAACAAAGGGGGTATAGGCTCCATGCAAGTCTGCAATCCAGCAGGGCAGTCAAATATTAAAGCTCCAAAATCATGTCCTTTGATACCATGTCTCACATCCAGGTCACAGTTAAGCAAGAGGTGGGTTCCCATGGTCTTGGGCAGCTCCACCCCTGTGACTTTGCAGGGTACAGCCTCCCTCAAGGCTGCCTCAGGGGCTGGTGTTGAGCTTTCCCAGGTACACAGTGCAAGCTATTCGTAGATCTATCATTCTGGGGTCTGGAGGACTGTGGCCCTCTTCTCACAGCTCCACTAGGCAGTGCCCCAGTGGGGAATCTGTGTTTGGGTTCATACCTCACATTTTCCTTCCACACTGCCCAAGCAGGGGTTCTACATGAAGGCTCCACCCCTCCAGCACACCTCTGCCTGGACATCCTGACATTTTCATACATCCTCTGAAATCTAGGCAGAGGTTCTAAAAACTCAGTTCTTGACTTTGATGCACCTGACAGCCCAACGCCACATGTAAGCCACCACGTCTTGAGGCTTGTACCCTCTGAAGCAACAGCCTAAGCTCTATGTTGGTCCCTTTTAGCCACGGCTGGGACACAGGGCACCAACTCCTGAGACTGCACAAAGCAGCAAGGCCCTAGGCCTGGTCCATGAAACCATTTTTTCCTCCTAGGCTTCTGGACCTGTGATGGGAGGGGCTGCTGTGAAGACTTCTGTCATACCCTAGAGACATCTTCCCCACTGTCTTGGTGATTAACATTTCGCTTCTTATTACTTATGCAAATTTCTGCAGCCAGCTTGATTTTCTCCTTAGAAAATGAGATTTTCTTTTCTATCACATAATCAGGCTGCAAATTTTCCAAATTTTTATGCTCTGCTTCTCTTTTAAACATAAGTTCCAATTTCAAACCATATCTTTCTGAATGCATAAAATGAAATTATTTTAAGAGCATCCAAGTCACCTCTTGAATACTTTGCTACTTAGAAATTCCTTCTGCCAGATACCCGAAATCACCTCTCTTAAGTTCAAAGTTCCACAAATCTCAAAGGAAGGGGCAAAATGCTGCCAGTCTCTTTGCTAACACATAGCAACAGTCACTTTTGTTCTAGTTCCCAACAAGTTCCTCATCTTCATCTGAGACCACCTCAGCCTGGACTTTATTGTCTATATCACTATCAGCATTTTGGTCAAAGCCATTCAACAAGTCTCTAGGAAGTTCCACACTTGCCCACATCTTCCTGTCTTTTTCTGAGCCCATCAAACTGTTCCAACCTCTGCCTGTTACCCAGTTCCAAAGTTGCTTTCACATTTTTAGGTGTCTTTACAGCAGCACCCCACCCTACCAGTACCACTTTACTGTATTAGTTTGTTCTCATGCTGCAAATAAAGACATACCTGAGAGTGGCTAATTTATAAAGGAAAGAGGTTTAATTGACTCACAGTTCCACATGGCTGGGGAGGCCTCACAATCCTGGCAGAAGGCAAAGGGAGGAGCAAAGTCACTTCTTACATGGTGGTAGGCAAGGGAGCATCTTCAGGGGAATGCCCCTTTATAAAACTATCAGATCTCATGAGACTTATTCACTATTAGGAGAACAGCATGGGAAAAACCCACCCACATGATTCAATTACCTCCCATCAGGTCCCTGCCATGCCATGTGGGGGTTATTATACTTCAAGGTGAGATTTGGGTAGAGACCCAAAGCCAAACCATAACAATAATTACTTACATGGTTTGGCTCTGTGCTCCTACCCAAATCTCATCTCTAATTATAATTCCCACATGTCAGAAGAGGGGCCTGGTGGGAGGTGAGTGAATCATAGGGGTGGACTTCCCCCTTGCTATTCTCGTTATAGTGACTTCTCATGAGCTCTGATGGTTTAAAAGTGTGCAGCAGCTCCCCACCCCACCTCCTGTTCTGCCATGACAAGATGTGCCTTCTTCTGCTTCAGCCATTATTATAAGTTTCCTGAGGCCTCCCAGTCATGCTTCCTGTTAAACCTGTGGAACTGTGAGTCAATTACAACTCCTTTTTTCATAAATTACCCAGTCTCACGTAGTTCCTTATAGCAGTGTGAGAAAGGACTAATACAATTACATATATTTGTTAAAGGATATTTTTGCTAGATAAAGTTTTCCTGTAGAGGTTTTGTTCAGCATTTAAAAAAATGTCATTTTATGGACTTCCCAGTTGAACCAAAATGGACTACCTGGAAGTAAACAGTAAACAAATGAGAAGAGACCTAACTTCTATATGAGAGTTCTAGGCAACAAGGGGGAACCCAACCAAAGACTAGCAGAACTGAATTGTAGAAATGGAGCTGAGAGACCAGGGCGACCAAGTCAGGGAGAGTGCTCAGAACAAAGTACCAGAGTGGACAAATCTGCACAAAGAGAGAACTCTGTAGATATGAGGAGGGTCTCCCTCAAGTATTCAGCCAAATAATTGTTATCATATATGTGTGGGGAAACTATCTGAGCCCAGAGAAAGAGCCATCTGACAGAATTAGCAGTAACGGTGTCTGGTACTCACACAGGCCCAGGAATAGTGCCTGTTGTCACCAGCCAGATGGAAAAATCTCATAATTAATATAGCATTAAATAAAATACGGAGAAAAGCCTTGACTAAGTATGGGGGATAACTAGCTCTAGACTAAATGCTATTTGGGTCCCACCTAACAAATCTTAAAAGCAAGGCTTAAAAGGATCAAACCGTTTCCAAGTGATTTAACTATGTACTAGAACAAAGCTCATAAATATTTATAGGAATACAAAAATATCCTGATGTAACAAGGTACAATTCACAATGTCTGGCATCCAACTGAAGACTGCTAGGCATCCAAAAAAACAAGATAATATAACTCATAATAAGGAGGAAAATCAACTAATCAAAACAGAGCTAGATTTCATACAGATGTTAGAATCTGCAGACAAGGGGATTAAAACAGTTATAATTATGTTCCAGATATTCCAAAGGTTAAGTAAAGAAACAAAAAAAAAGCCAAAAACTCAAATTGGATTACAGACATACATATAAGAGCTAAAAACTATAAAATTCTTAGAAGAAAATAAGGCATAAATCTTTATGACCTTACTAAGGCAAAGATTTCCAATACAGGACACCAAAAGCAGAACCGATTAAAAAAAATGATAAATAGGTCTTTATCAAAATTCAAAACTTTGGTACTTTGGTACTTCAAAAGACACTCTCATACAAGTGAAAAAGTAAGCCAAAGATTTGTGGAAAAGATTTCTTTTTTTTATTTTTATTATACTTAAGTTCTAGGGTACATTTGCACAATGTGCAGGTTTGTTACATATGTATACATGTACCATGCTCGTGTGCTGCACCCATTAACTCGTCATTTCATTAGGTATATCTCCCAGTGCTATCCCTCCCCACTCCCCCCACCCCATGACAGGCCCTGGTGTGTGATGTTCCCCACCCTGTGTCCAAATGTTCTCATTGTTCAATTCCCACCTATGAGTGACAACATGCAGTATTTGGTTTTCTGTCCTTGCGAAAGTTTGCTGAGGATGATGGTTTCCAGCTTCATCCATGTCCCTACAAAGGACATGAACTCATCCTTTTTTATGGCTGCATAGTATTCCATGGTGTATATGTGCCACATATTCTTAATCCAGTCTATCATTTTTGGACATTTGGGTTGGTTCCAAGTCTTTGCTATTGTGAATAGTGCTGCAATAAACATACGTGTGCATGTGTCTTTATAGCAGCATGATTTATAATCCCTTGGGTATATACCCAGTAATGGGATGGCAGGGACAAATGGTAATTCTAGTTCTAGATCCTTGAGGAATCACCACTCTCTCTTCCACAATGGGTGAACTAGTTTACAGTCCCACCAACAGTGTAAAAGTGTTCCTATTTCTCCACATCCTCTCCAGCACCTGTTGTTTCCTGACTTTTTAATGACTGCCACTCTAACTGGTGTGAGAGGGTATCTCACTGTGGTTTTGATTTGCATTTCTCTGATGGCCAGTGATGATGAGAATTTTTCAGGTGTCTGTTGGCTGCATAAATGTCTTCTTTTGAGAAGTGTCTGTTCATATCCTTCGCCCACTTTTTGATGGGGTTGTTTTTTTCTTGTAAGTTTGTTTGAGCTCTTTGTAGATTCTGGATATTAGCCCTTTGTCAGATGAGTAAATTGCAAAAATTTCTCCCATTCTGTAGGTTGCCTGTTCACTCTGATGATAGTTTCTTTTGCTGTGCAGAAGCTCTTTAGTTTAATTAGATCCCATTTGTCAATTTTGGCTTTTGTTGCCACTGCTTTTGGTGTTTTAGACATGAAGTCCTTGCCCATGCCTATGTACTGAATGGTAAAGCCTAGGTTTTCTTCTAGGGTTTTTATGGTTTTAGGTCTAACATTTAAGTCTTTAATCCACCTTGAATTAATTTTTGTATAAGGTGTAAGGAAGGGATCCAGTTTCAGCTTTCTACGTATGGCTAGCCAGTTTTCCCAGCACCATTTATTAAATAGGGAATACTTTCCGCATTGCTTGTTTTTGTCAGGTTTGTCAAAGGTCAGATGGTTGTAGATGTGTGGTGTTATTTCTGAGGCCTCTGTTCTGTTCCATTGGTCTATATCTCTGTTTTGGTACCAGGACCATGCTGTTTTGGTTACTGTAGGCTTGTAGAATAGTTTGAAGTCAGGTAGCATGATGCCTCCAGCTTTGTTCTTTTTGCTTAGGATTCTCTTGGCAATGTGGGCTCTTTTTTGGTTCCATATGAACGTTAAAGTAGTTTTTTCCAATTCTGTGAAGAAAGTCATTGGTAGCTTGATGGGGATGGCATTGAATCTATAAATTACCTTTGGCAGTACGGCCATTTTCACAATATTGATTCTTCCTATCCATGAGCATGAAATGTCCTTCCATTTGTTCGCGTCAGTTTCAAAGAATATCTTTATTTCTGCCTTCATTTCGTTATGTACCCAGTAGTCATTCAGGAGCAATTTGTTCAGTTTCCATGTAGTTGAACAGTTTTGAGTGAGTTTCTTAATCCTGAGTTCTAGTTTGATTGCACTGTGGTCTGAGAGACAGTTTGTTATAATTTCTGTTCTTTTACATTTGCTGGGGAGTGCTTTACTTCCAACTATGTGGTCAAATTTGGAATAAGTGTGATGTGGTGCTGAGAAGAATGTATATTCTGTTGATTTGGGGTGGAGAGTTCTGTAGATGCCTATTAGGTCCGCTTGGTGCAGAGCTGAGTTCAATTCCTGGATATCCTTGTTAACTTTCTGTCTCATTGATCTGTCTAATGTTGACAGTGGAGTGTTAAAGTCTCCCATTATTATTGTGTGGGAGTCTAAGTCTCTTTTTAGGTCTCTAAGGACTTGCTTTATGAATCTGGGTGCTCCTGTATTGGGTGCATATATATTTAGGATAGTTAGCTCTTCTTGTTGAATTGATCCCTTTACCATTATGTAATGGCCTTCTTTGTCTCTTTTGATCTTTGTTGGTTTAAAGTCTGTTTTATCAGAGACTAGGATTGCAACCCCTGCCTTTTTTTGTTTTCCATTTGCTTGGTAGATCTTCCTCCATCACTTTATTTTGAGCCTATGTGTGTCTCTGCATGTGAGATGGGTTTCCTGAATACAGCACACTGATGGGTCTTGACTCTTTATCCAATTTGCCAGTCTGTGTCTTTTAATTGCAGCATTTAGCCTATTTACATTTAAGTTTAATATTTTTATGTGAGAATTTGATCCTGTCATGATGATGTTAGCTGGTTATTTTGCTCGTTAGGTGATGCAGTTTCTTCCTAGTCTCAATGGTCTTTACATTTTGGCATGTTTTTCAGTGGCTGGTACCGGTTTTTCCTTTCCATGTTTAGTGCTTCCTTCAGGAGCTCTTGTAGGGCAGGCCTGGTGGTGACAAAATCTCTCAGCATTTGCTTGTCTCTAAAGGATTTTATTTCTTCTTCGCTTATGAAGCTTAGTTTGGCTGGATATGAAATTCTGGGTTGAAAATTCTTTTCTTTAAGAATGTTGAATATTGGCCCCCACTCTCTTCTGGCTTGTAGAGTTTCTGCCAAGAGATCTGCTGTTAGTCTGATGAGCTTCCATTTGTGGGTGACCCCACCTTTCTCTCTGGCTGCCCTTAACATTTTTTCCTGCATTTCAACCTTGGTGAATCTGACAATTATGTGTCTTGGAGTTGCTCTTCTCGAGGAGTATCTTTGTGGCATTTTCTGTATTTCCTGAATTTGAATGTTGGCCTGCCTTGCTAGGTTGGGGAAGTTCTGGATAATATCCTGCAGAGTGTTTTCCAACTTGGTTCCATTCTCCCTGTCACTTTCGGGTACACCAATCAGACATAGATTTGGTCTTTTCACATAGTCCCGTATTTCTTGGAGGTTTTGTTCGTTTCTTTTTACTCTTTTTTCTTTAAACATCCCTTCTTGCTTCATTTCATTCATTTGATCTTCAATCACTGATACCCCTTCTTCCAGTTGATCGAATTGGTTATTGAAGCTTGTGCATTCGTCATGTAGTTCTCGTGCCATGGTTTTCAGCTCTGTCAGGTCATTTAATGACTTCTCTACACTGTTATTCTAGTTAGTCATTCATCTATTCTTTTTTCAAGGTTTTTAGCTTCTTTGTGTTGGGTTCAAACTTCCTCCTTTAGCTCAGCAAAGTTTGAGTTTCTGAACTCTTCTTCTCTCAACTTGTCAAAGTCATGGTCCGTCCAGCTTTGTTCCATTGCGGGCAAGGAGCTGTGTTGCTTTGGAGGGGGAGAGGCGCTCTGATTTTTAGAATTTTCAGCTTTTCTGCTCTGTTTTTTCCCCATCTTTGTGGTTTTATCTACCTTTGGTCTTTGATGATGGTGATGTACAGATGTGGTTTTGGTGTGGATGTCCTTTCTGTTTGTTAGTTTTCCTTCTAACAGTCAGGCTCTCAGCTGCAGGTCTGTTGGAGTTTGCTGGAGGTCCACTCCAGATCCTGTTTGCCTGGGTTTCAGCAGCGGAGGCCATAGAACAGTGAATATTGCTGAACAGCAAATGTTGCTGCCTGATCGTTCCTCTGGAAGCTTCATCTCAGAGGGGTACACAGCCGTGTGAGGTGTCAGTCTGCCCCTACTGGGGGGTGCCTCCCAGTTAGGCTACTCGGGTGTCAGGGACCCACTTGAGGAGGCAGTCTGTCTGTTCTCAGATCTCAAACTCTGTGCTGGGAGAACCACTACTCTCTTCAAAACTGTCAGACAAGGACATTTACATCTACAGAGGTTTCTCCTGCCTTTTGTTCGGCTATGCCCTGCCCCTAGAGGTGGAGTCTACAGAGGCAGGCAGGCCTCCTTGAGCTGTGGTGGGCTCCATCCAGTTCGAGCTTCCCGGCCACTTTGTTTACCTACTCAAGCCTCAACAATGGTGGGCACCCCTCCCCCAGCCTCACTGCCACCTTGCAGTTCGATCTCAGACTGCTGTGCTAGTAATGAGTGAGGCTCTGTGGCTGTGGTACCCTCCGAGCCAGGTGCGGGATATAATCTCCTGGTGTGCCATTTCCTAAGACCCTTGAAAAAGTGTAGTATTAGGGTGGGAGTGACCTGATTTTCCAGGTGCTGTGTGTCACAGCTTCCCTTGGCTAGGAAAAGGAATTCCCTGACCCCTTTCACTTCCCAGGTGAGGCGATGCCTCGCCCTGCTTCGGCTCTTGCTCTGTGGGCTGCACCCACTGTCCGACACACCCCAGAGAGATGAACCCGGTACCTAAGTTGGAAATGCAGAAATCACCCGTCTTCTGCGCTGCTCATGCTGGGAGCTGTAGACTGGAGCTGTTCATATTTGGCCATCTTGGAACCACCCCCAAAATATTTCAATTTATATATCTGATAAGAATCTTGTATCCAGAATATACAAAGATCTGTTACAACTTAAAATAATAAAAAGATTCTTATGGAACCACAAAAGGCCAAGAATAGCCAAAGTAGCCTTAAGCAAAAAGAACAAAACAGAAGGCATCACATTACCTGGCTTTAAAATATACTACAAAGCCACAGTAATCAAAATAGTATGGTATTGGCATAAAAAATACATAAGCTAATGGAACAGAATAGAGAACCTAGAAATAAATCTATGCATCTACAAGCAACTCATGTTTGACAAAGATGCCAACAACTTACATTGGGGAAAGGAGATGTTCAATAAATGTGCTAAGAAAACTGGATATTCATATGCAGAAGAATGAAATGAGATCCCTACCTCTCACCATATACAAAAAGCAAATAAAAACGGATTGACGACTTGGATTTAAAACCTGATACTAAAATAATTAGAAGAAAACAAGGGGAAAATGCTTTAGAACATTGTCCTGGGCAAAGATTTCTTGAGTAAGACCTTAAAAGTACAGGCAACCCAAGCAAACATGGACACATGGGATTAAATCAAGCTAAAAAGCTTTTGCATGACAAAGGAAGCAGTCGATGAAGGCACAACCTACAGCATGGGATAAAATATTTTAAAACTATTCATCTGACAAGGGATTAATAATCAGAATATGTAAGAAACTCAATAGCAAAAAAAATAATTTTATTTAAAATGGGCAATAGATCTGAATAAACATTTCTCAAAAGACACAAATGGCCAAGAGATATGTGAAAAATTTTCAACATTACTAATCATCAGCAAAATGCAAATAAAAGTCATAATAATATACCATCTCACCCCAGTTAAAATGGCTATTACAAAATACATAGAAAATAATAAATGCTAGAGAGGATGCAGAGAAAGGGGAATGCTTGTACACTGCTGGTGGGAATATAAATAGAACATTGACTATGGAAAACAGTATAGACTTTCCTCAAAAAACTAAAAATAGAACTATCATATGATCCAGCAAACCCACTGCTGGGTATACATCCAAAGGAAAGGAAACTGGCATATCAAAATGATAGCTGCACTCCCATGTTTATTGCAGCATCATTCACAATACCCAAGATATGGAATCAAACTAAGTGTCCATCAAAGAATGAATGGATAAAGAAAATGTGGTACACAATGTGGTATACAAAATGAAATATTACTCAACCATAAAATGAAAACTTCTGTCTTCAAAGCAACATGGATAGAATTGGAGGACGTTAAGTTAAATAAACCAGGCAGAGAAAGACAAATATTGCATGTTCTCACATATATGTCAGAGCTAAAAAAAATTGATCTCATAGAAGTAATAAATGTATTAGTGGTTAACAGAGGCTGTGAACAGAAGGAATAATATCTAGTGTTGATAGCACAATAGAGTGACAATAGTTAATAATATATTGTATATTTCAAAATAGCTAGAAGAAAATATTTGAAATATTCCTTGCACAAATGGTGAATCTTTGAGGTAATGGCTGTCACAATTATCCAGATTTGATCATTACACATTGTATGTCTGTATCACAATATTCTATGTATCCCCTAAATATGTAGAATGACTATGCATCCATAAAATTTAAAATAAACACCCACAATAATGACAAAAATTTAAATGCGACAATTAAAAGTGAGTAAAAGATTTGAATAGATATTTCACCAAAGAAGATATACATAAGGTTAATAAGCACATAAAAATGTTCAACATCATTACTCATTAAGGAAAGGAAAGTTAAAATCATAATGAGATACAACTTCACACTCACAAGAATGGCTATAATTAAAAAAAAAGGAATAACAAGTATTGATGAGTGTGTAGAGAAACTAGAAGCCATGTACATTGCTCCTGGGAAGATAGAACAGTGCAACCACTTCGAAAAATAATTTGAGAGTTTCTTAAATGTTAAGCATAGGATTACCTTATAATCCAACTCCACTCCTAGATGTCTAACCAAGAGAAATAAAACATGCCTACATAAACACTTGTACTAAAAATGACTGACTTATACACTTAAAACAGATAAATTTTACTGTGTATAAATGATACCTTAATAAAGTTGTTTTTTAAAAAATAAGCAGAGACATGGAAAATATTAAAAAACCCAAATATACTAAATGTAATTAAGGGCAGATTAGATATCACAGACAAAATGATTAGTGGACTGGAAGACATAGCAATACATACGATAAATAATGAATTAAAGAGAAGAGAATGAATTTTGAAAATTAGGATAATATCAATGAGCTATGAGACAACTTAAAACAATTTTCTGTATGTGTAATTAGAGTTCCCAAAAGAGAAATGTGATGTGTGTTGGGGGAGGGAGGAACAGAAAAAAAAATTTAATAACAGATGAAAATTTCCCAAACTTAAAGAAAATTATAAACCTACAGTTTCAAAAATGAATCTCAAACACAAGAATCATGAAGAAAACCACACCAAGACATAACATAATAAAATTGTTCAAAACTAGCGATAAAGAGAAAACTTTAAAGCAGCCAGAGGGAAAAAAGTCACCTCACATAGAGAACAAAATAAGAATGACAATATCCATTTTTCATCAAGAAACAATGTAAGAGAAGACAGTCCTTAAAAATTCTATAACTAGCAAAAACATTTTTCAAAACAAACATAAATAAAGACTTTTTCAGATATGCACGAATCAAATCACCACCAACAGACCCACCTTATAAATGAAGTTCTCCAGAGAGAGGAAAATGAAATAAGGTGAATATATGGATCTATACAAGGAATAAAGAACATCTAAAATGACAACCAAAAGGGTAAATATATCCCTGAAAGTGACGTGGAGAATGCAACCAAGTTGGAAAACACTCTGCAGGATATTATCCAGGAGAACTTCCCCAATCTAGCAAGGCAGGCCAACATTCAGATTCAGGAAATATAGAGAATGCCACAAAGATACTCCTCGAGAAGAGCAACTCCAAGACACATAATTGTCAGATTCACCAAAGTTGAAATGAAGGAAAAAATGTTAAGGGCAGCCAGAGAGAAAGGTCAGGTTACCCTCAAAGGGAAGCCCATCAGACTAACAGCGGATTTCTTGGCAGAAACTCTACAAGCCAGAAGAGAGTGGGGGCCAATATTCAACATTCTTAAAGAAAAGAATTTTCAACCCAGAATTTCATGTCCAGCCAAACTAAGCTTCACAAGTGAAGGAGAAATAAAACACTTTACAGACAAGCAACTGTTGAGAGATTTTGTCACCACCAGGCCTGCACTACAAGAGCTCCTGAAGGAAGCGCTAAACATGGAAAGGAACAACTAGTACCAGCCACTGCAAAACCATGCCAAAATGTAAAGACCATTGAGACTAGGAAGAAACTGCATCAACTAACGAGCAAAATAACCAGCTAACATCATCATGACAGGATCAAATTCACACATAACAATATTAACTTTAAATGGAAATGGACTAAATGCTCCAATTAAAAGACACAGACTGGCAAATTGGATAAAGAGTCAAGACCCATCAGTGTGCTGTATTCAGGAAACCCATCTCACGTGCAGAGACACACATAGGCTCAAAATAAAAGGATGGAGGAAGATCTACCAAGCAAATGGAAAACAAAAAAAGGCAGGGGTTGCAATCCTAGTCTCTGATAAAACAGACTTTAAACCAACAAAGATCAAAAGAGACAAAGAAGGCCATTACATAATGGTAAAGGGATCAATTCAACAAGAAGAGCTAACTATCCTAAATATATAAGCACCCAGTACAGGAGCACCCAGATTCATAAAGCAAGTCCTGAGTGACCTACAAAGAGACTTAGACCCCCACACATTAATAATGGGAGACTTTAATGCCCCACTGTCAACATTAGACAGATCAACGAGACAGAAAGTTAACAAGGATACCCAGGAATTGAACTCAGCTCTGCACCAAGCGGACCTAATAGGCATCTACAGAACTATCCACCCAAAATCAACAGAATATACATTTTTTTCAGCACCACACCACACCTATTCCAAAATTGACCACATACTTGGAAGTAAAGCTCTCCTCAGCAAATGTAAAAGAACAGAAATTATAACAAACTATCTCTCAGACCACAGTGCAATCAAACTAGAACTCAGGATTAAGAATCTCACTCAAAGCCCCTCAACTACATGGAAACTGAACAACCTGCTCCTGAATGACTACTGGGTACATAACGAAATGAAGGCACAAATAAAGATGTTCTTTGAAACCAACGAGAACAAAGACACAACATACCAGAATCTCTGGGATGCATTCAAAGCAGTGTGTAGAGGGAAATTTATAGCACTAAATGCCCACAAGAGAAAGCAGGAAAGATCCAAAATTGACACCCTAACATCACAATTAAAAGAACTAGAAAAGCAAGAGCAAACACATTCAAAAGCTAGCAGAAGGCAAGAAATAACTAAAATCAGAGCAGAACTGAAGGAAATAGAGACACAAAAAACCCTTCAAAAAATTAATGAATCCAGGAGCTGGTGTTTTGAAAGGATCAACAAAATTGATAAACCGCTAGCAAGACTAATAAAGAAAAAAAGAGAGAAGAATCAAATAGATGCAATAAAAAATGATAAAGGGGATATCACCACTGATCCCACAGAAATACAAACTACCATCAGAGAATACTACAAACACCTCTACACAAATAAACTAGAAAATCTAGAAGAAATGGATAAATTCCTCGACACATACACTCTCCCAAGACTAAACCAGGAAGAAGTTGAATCTCTGAATAGACCAATAACAGGATCTGAAATTGGGCAATAATCAATAGCTTACCAACCAAAAAGAGTCCAGGACCAGATGGATTCACAGCCGAATTCTACCAGAGGTACAAGGAGAAACTGGTACCATTCCTTCTGAAACTGTTCCCATCAATAGAAAAAGAGGGAATCCTCCCTAACTCATTTTATGAGGCCAGCATCATCCTGATACCAAAGCCAGGCAGAGACACAGCCAAAAAAGAGAATTTTAGACCAATATCCTTGATGAACATTGATGCAAAAATCCTCAATAAAATACTGGCAAACCAAATCCAGCAGCACATCAAAAAGCTTATCCACCATGATCAAGTGGGCTTCATCCCTGGGATGCAAGGCTGGTTCAATATACGCAAATCAATAAATGTAATCCAGCATATAAACAGAACCAAAGACAAAACCCACACGATTATCTCAATAGATGCAGAAAAGGCCTTTGACAAAATTCAACAACCCTTCATGCTAAAAACTCAATAAATTAGGTATTGATGGGACGTATTTCAAAATAATAAGAGCTATCTATGACAAACCCACAGCCAATATCATACTGAATGGGCAAAAACTGGAAGCATTCCCTTTGAAAACTGGCACAAGACAGGGATGCCCTCTCTCACCACTCCTATTCAACATAGTGTTGGAAGTTCTGGCCAGGGCAATTAGGCAGGAGAAGGAAATAAAGGGTATTCAATTAGGAAAAGAGGAAGTCAAATTGTCCCTGTTTGCAGATGACATGATTGTATATCTAGAAAACCCCACTGTCTCAGCCCAAAATCTCCTTAAGCTGATAAGCAACTTCAGCAGTCTCAGGATACAAAATCAATGTACAAAAATCACAAGCATTCTTATACACCAACAACAGACAAACAAAGAGCCAAATCATGAGTGAACTCCCATTCACAATTGCTTCAAAGAGAATAAAATACCTAGGAATCCAACTTACAAGGGATGTGAAGGACCTCTTCAAGGAGAACTACAAACCACTGCTCAAGGAAATAAAAGAGGATACAAACAAATGGAAGAACATTCCATGCTCATGGGTAGGAAGAATCAATATCGTGAAAATGGCCATACTGCCAAAGGTAATTTACAGATTCATTGCCATCCCCATTAAGCTACCAATGACTTTCTTCACAGAATTGGAAAAAACTACTTTAAAGTTCATATGGAACCAAAAAAGAGCCCGCATCGCCAAGTCAATCCTAAGCCAAAAGAACAAAGCTGGAGGCATCACACTACCTGACTTCAAACTATACTACAAGGCTACAGTAACCAAAACAGCATGGTACTGGTACCAAAACAGAGATATAGATCAATGGAACAGAACAGAGTCCTCAGAAATAACGCCACATATCTACAACTATCTCATCTTTGACAAACCTGAGAAAAACAAGCAATGGGGAAAGGATTCCCTATTTAATAAATGGTGCTGGGAAAACTGGCTAGCCATATGTAGAAAGCTGAAACTGGATCCCTTCCTTACACCTTATACAAAAATCAATTCAAGATGGATTGAAGACTTAAACGTTAGACCTAAAACCATAAAAATCCTAGAAGAAAACCTAGGCTTTACCATTCAGGGCATAGGCATGGGCAAGGACTTCATGTCTAAAACACCAAAAGCAATGGCAACAAAAGCCAAAATTGACAAATGGGATCTAATTAAACTAAAGAGCTTCTGCACAGCAAAGAAACTACCATCAGAGTGAACAGGCAACCTACAAAATGGGAGAAAATTTTCGCAACCTACTCATCTGACAAAGGGCTACTATCCAGAATCTACAATGAACTCAAACAAATTTACAAGAAAAAAACAAACAACCCCATCAAAAAGTGGGCGAAGGACATGAACAGACACTTCTCAAAAGAAGACATTTATGCAGCCAAAAAACATATGAAAAAATGCTCACCATCACTGGCCATCAGAGAAATGCAAATTAAAACCACAATGAGATACCATCTCACACCAGTTAGAATGGTAATCATTAAAAAGTCAGGAAACAACAGGTGCTGGAGAGGATGTGGAGAAATAGGAACACTTTTACACTGTTGGTGGGACTGTAAACTAGTTCACCCATTGTGGAAGTCAGTGTGGCGATTCCTCAGGGATCTAGAACTAGAAATACCATTTGACCCAGCCATCCCATTACTGGGTATATACCCAAAGGACTATAAATCATGCTGCTATAAAGACACATGCACACGTGTGTTTATTGTGGCATTATTCACAATAACAAAGACTTGGAACCAACCCAAATGTCCAACAATGATAGACTGGATTAAGAAAATGTGGCACATATACACCATGGAATACTATGCAGCCATAAAAAATGGTGAGTTCATGTCCTTTGTAGGGCCATGGATGAAATTGGAAATCATCATTCTCAGTAAAGTATCGCAAGAACAAAAAACCAAACACCGCATAGTCTCACTAGTAGGTGGGAATTGAACAATGAGAACACATGGACACAGGAAGGGGAACATCACACTCTGGGGCCTGTTGTGGGGTGGGGGGAGGGGGGAGGGATAGCACTGGGAGATATATCTAATGCTAGATGACGAGTTAGTGGGTGCAGCGCACCAGCATGGCACATGTATACATATGTAACTAACCTGCACATTGTGCACATGTACCCTAAAACTTAAAGTATAATAAAAAAACAAAAACAAAAACAAAAAACAATTAAAATGAAAAAAAAGGGTAAAGATATCATATTTTTATATTTAAATATTTTTAAAAATCGACAACTTAAATAAAAATTCACAATGTGTTTGGTGGTTTATAACATGTAAATAAGTAGAATACATGACAATAACATAAAGGCTGAAAAAAATACAAGTATAGTATGGTAAAGTTCTTATTCTACATGTGAAGTGATATAATAACACTTGAAGATAGACTGTGATTTAAATAAGTACACTATTACCTGCAAAACAAATACTAAAAGATTTATAATTAATAAAGAAATAGAACTGAGAAATTAAAACATGTTCAATTAACTAATAACAGAGTAAAAGGACAAATAGAAAAATGTAAAAAAGATACTTAAACATAACAATAATTACATTAAATGCAAATTGTCTAAAAATCCATTTATAAGGCAGAGATTGTCAGACTGGATAACTAAAAAAGACCCAATTATAGGCCACTTACAAGAAACTCAGTTTACATAAAGCGACAGAAATAAGGTAAAATTAGAGGATGGAAAACGATGAGCCTTGCTAACATTAATTAATTCAAGAAAAGTTGATGTGGCTATATTAATATTAGATAAAGTAGATTTTAGAGCAAAGGATGTTACTAAGGATAAAAAAGCCCATTTTATAATGATAAAGGGATCAACTTATAAAAGAACATTTGATTTTAAATGTTTAAGTGGTATAACTGAGTATGAAAACACATAAAACAAAAACTGATAGTACTGAAAGGAGAAATAGACAAATCCATAATTATTGTCAGATATTTCAATTACCCTCTCTCAATAATTGATTTGAATAACTGATAGAATAATTGACAGAATAATGATACAGAAGATTTGAAGACTATCAACAACTTTTACCTAATTGACATTTATAGGACATTCCAACCAATCACATCAGAATAAATATTATTTTCAAGTACATGTTAAATTTACCAATGTATGCCATGTTATAAACCAAAAAACGAGTGTGAATGATATTAAAACGAGTAATACAAAGAATATTTTCTGGCCACAGTAGAATTAAATTAGTTACAGCAAGATACTCAGAATGGTTTCAGTTTTTTGGAAACCAAGTAATATAACTTCTAAATAAACTCTGAGTAAACATAAAAAGTAAAGTGAAATTTAAAAATATTTTGAACTTGAGGAAAATAAAAATATAACATATTAGGATTTGTGGAATGACTCTAAAGCAGTACTTAAAGAAAATTTATAGCTCTAAATGCCTATAATACCAAAGAAGGAATGTCTTCTGTGAATGCCTCAACTTCCACCTTCAGAAGCTAGGAAAGAACATATTAAATTCAAAGTAAGCAAAAGAAAGGAAATAAGAGAGTGGAAGTCAATGGAATAGAAAATAAGTAGAACAAATTAATGAAACCAACCTTGGCTCTTTGAAAAGATAGATATAATTGATCAACCTCTAACCAGTCTGACCAGGAAAAAAAGAGAAGACAAAAGTTAGCCATCCAAGAGTGAGGTTTAATACCATTACAGATTCTACAGATGTTAAGATAAAAATTAGGAAATATCATGAATAATTTTATGCCATTAAATTTAATAATTTACATGAAATGAACCAATTTCTTGAAAGACACAAAATACTAAAGCTGACTCAAGAACTGAGTAGCTTTACATCTGTTAAAGCAAGGTTTCTCAAACTTGGTATTATTGATATTTGCACCAAATAATTATTTATTATAGGGCTATCTTATACATTGTAGAATGTTTAGCAACATTCCTGGTCTCTATTTACTAGATGCTTACAGCAATTCCTTCTCTTTGTTGTGACAACCAAAAAATGTGCACAGACATTGCAAAATGTTCTCCAAGGAGTCAAAATTGCCCTGGATTAGAAACACTATATTTAAAAAACCAAAAATTGTAGCTTCAACCCTTCCCACAAAAGTTGCAGGTCCAGATGTCTTCGTAGTTGATGTTTATCAAATGTTCAAGGATGAAATTATACTAATTCTATAAGAAAAAACTTTTTTAGAAAATTAAAAGAGAGGGAATACTTCTCAACTAATTATATGAAGCCACAATTATCTTGATAACCATAGCTATAAAGACATGACCAGAAATAAAGACTATACAGATCAATATCTCTCATTTTGCATAAATGCAAAAGTTCTGAGTAACATTTTAGCAAATTGAATCC
The DNA here is from genome assembly GCF_000001405.40 of Homo sapiens. Taxonomy (NCBI): domain Eukaryota; kingdom Metazoa; phylum Chordata; class Mammalia; order Primates; family Hominidae; genus Homo; species Homo sapiens. The sequence goes on from NC_000015.10 coordinate 37,479,381, forward strand.
AGCAATATGTAAAAGAAATAACACATAGTGATCAAATGGGGTTAATTTAGTAACATAAGGTTGGTTGAACAAATTAAAATCAATCAATGTAATTCACCACATTAAGAAATTTAATCTCAATCTCAGAAAAGCATGTCACAAAATCCAATATGCACAATAAAAACTTTCAGAAAGCTAGAAGTAAAATGGAACATTTCAACCTAATTAAAAGCATCCCTGATAAACCTACTGCTAGCATTAGACTTAATGGTGAAAGACTGAATGCTTTCAGAAACAAGACAGGGATGTCTGCTGTCACTACATCTATTCACGATTATATTGCAATTTCCAGCTAATGTAATAAAGCAAGAAAAAAATCACAATATGCAGATTGAAAAGAAATAGTATTATTTTTATTCACAGATGTCATCACATCTATACAGAAAATCTGATAAAATCTACAAAAAGATGCTAGAATAACTGTATTTCACATGGTGACAAAAAAAATTGTCCAAAAATTAGTTGTACTTCTATTTATTAGCAATGAATTGAAAAAAATGAAAATTTTAAAATAATATTGCCAAGAGCATAAAAATATAAAATAAAATACCTAAGAATAAATCTGACAAAAGGTTGTGTAAGGCTGTACACTATAAAATACAAATCAATGCTCAGAGAAACTTTTTTTAAAAACATGAATATATAGAACAATATATCTTGTTATGGGTTGGAAGACTCAATAGTGTGAAAACGTTGATTCTCTTCATATACCAAATGATCCAGCCATTTATTCCTAGGCATTTACCGAAAAGAAAAGATAGCATAAAGCTATATAGAAGATAGCATAAAGCTTATACATGAATGTGCATAGCAGCCTTATTTGTAATAGCCTTAACTGGAAACAACTCAAATGTCCATCAAAAAGGGAATGCATAAACAAATTGTGATATATCCATACAATGGAATCCTACTCAGTAATGAAAATGTAACAAACTACTGTTACACATAATGACATAGATGAGTGAAAGAAGCCAGACAAAAAGAATGTATACCCTATATTTCTTAATGCTAGTTATTGTATTTTCTATTTTCTAAAAATATATTTTTAATAGAGTCCAGTTATCTAATAAACATCTCCAATCTTATTTATTTTCTCGAGCATATTAACACAGTTAAATTAATTGATAGCTACAAGTCAGAATCATCTATTGGTCTGTTTCTATTTTCTGATTTTTTTCCCTTCAGCCTGTTTCCCTGTGGGGGAATAATAATTTTTATTTGAATATGAATAAATATTTATATTCAAATAAATATTTATATTCAAATAAAAAAATTTTATTTGAATATAAATAAATTTGAATTGAAATAATAATTTTGATTTGAAAGTCAAATATTTGGTTTGAAAAACTGCGGAGGATCTGCGTGATGTTCTCAACCTCAAGAGAAGATTTAACCCATCCTCTGACATGTCAAAACAGTAGGAGCAGATCACCTCAATCCAATGAGGTTTTGACTCAGTGCTAAATTTAAGACTTTGTAAGGCTCTGTCTACCTCTGGGTCTCCTTCAAAACTAAGATGTAGCTTTTCAGGAGTCCCCTTAAGAACCTTGGATATTTAGCAGAGTACCTCCTTCTTAATGCATAAATTCAATATCAAATTTTGTGTCATTATGAGACTACCAAAAGTTCTCCTGAGCTTTTCAGGTTTTTTTCTATGTGGTTTAACAACTGGCAAATGCCTGAAAGAGAACACTAGTGCCTAGTGTCAGAAACATTTCCCCATGTTTCCTTTCCCTCTGGAATCTTGCTCTCTCAAATACTGATTACTTTGGGAGGTCCAGACTCCAATGTTTGCCTCTCAGAGCCCTATGAGATTTCTAAAAGCTCTGCTGTCTTCTCTGCCTCTTAGTGGCTGTACGCTGTTCAGCTTCTAAGCATTTTGCCTCATCAGGCTGTAGACTCAGCAAATACCTTCAATAGAAACAGAAACTCAGTAGGTTGGGCTCATCTCTGTGAGTTTCTCTTTGATTGTATAATATATACAGAGACATGTTTTGGAGGGGCTCAGAGTGAAACCAAGTAGCAGATGTCACTTGCCAAATTACATGTCAAAAGAGTAATAAATGTTATAACAGTGAGTACAACAGGAGTTAAAAGAAATTAAGGATTTCTATCTCAGGTAGAGTAGGATTTTATTCCTTATAAGTAAAATCATTTTTACCAGAATTAGACATTATTGAGGGATATTAAGTAACACTGGTACCTAACTGCTTGTGGGGAAAGAGGAATGAGAAATGGTTGAAAAAAGGGCCAACATTCCAAGCTTTTGTAATCAGTAAAGTGGAAAGTATACAGAATGGGAAAGAAAAAGCCAGGTGTGATTTCTCAACATACTAACTCTCAATATATGGCCGTGGCTCTCCAGGGGAGATTGTATTAGTCTGCTCAGGCTGCCATAACAAAATGCCACGGACTGGGGGCTTAAATTACTGATATTTATTTTCTCACACTTCTGGAGGCTAGACATCCATGATCAAGGTGCCTAGTGATTTGGTCCATGGTGAGAGCTCTCTTCCTGGTATGCAGAGAGCCATCTTCTTGCTGTAACCTCACATATCCTTTCTTCTAAGAATATGGTGGAGGGGGAGGAGGTAAAGGACAGAGGAGAGAGAGAAGAGAGAGAGAGGAGAGAGGGAAGGAGGGAGGGAGGGGGAGAGAGAGAAAGAGAGAGAGAGAGAAGATGGAGAGAGGAGAGACAGAGAGAGTCATATATCTTTTCCTCTTATAAGAACATGAGCCTTGTTGGATTAGAGCTGTACCCTTATGACCTCACTTAACATTCATTACCTCCTTATAGGCTCTATCTCCAAATGAAGTCACATTGGAGGATAGAGCTTCAACATATGAATTTTAAGAGAAAACAATTTAGTCCATGGCAGAAATGCACTAGCTGTCTTGCACTTAAAGTTATACTACTTTCTCTCCTCCTATTCTAGACATAATATTTCTTCTACTAAACAATCCATATCTAAGACCATTTTTGATAATTTCAGGAAAAACTAAATTATATTTCCCTTTATTCATGGTGAATAATATTTTCTCTCCTAGAAAACAAGAAAAAGTCACTTTAAAGAAATTATATTAGTATGGCAGTCTAGTATAAAGCTATATCCTAGCATTACTTGGCAAAAACTTTTTCCAAATTCTAAAATTTTCCTTTTTGATAACATCTTTTTATTTGCCACTTCCACTAGCAATATCATACTTTTTGCTCTTTATAACAAGTAATTCATGTAGACAGAACTAAATCAGATGAACATTACATTCTGCAAGGGTGTACTTCATAGTCTTGACAATGCTGGGAACTGGTCATTTGATCTCCTTATTAATCTAGGAGCACTAGGTCTTTCCCCAACTCCAGAAGGTGCTTCCTCTTGGCACTACTGTGTTTCTATTTAAGGCTTCTCAAGAGTCTGGGTCTTCCACAGCTAATGGGTTTAGTTTGACAGTCCTGCCTCCATTTCTCTTAATCACCATCTGAAAATTCAAGTCATAATCCACCAGATAATGAGATGCCCCTTCTGTGTTAGAGTGTAGGAGGGAAAAATATAGGTGTATTAGTCCATTTTCACACTGCTGATGAAGACATACCTGAGACTGGGTAATTTACAAAAGAAAGAGGTTTAATTGGAATTAGAGTTCCACGTGGCTGGGGAAGCCTCACAATCATGGCAGAAGGCAAGCAGGAGCAAGTCCTGTCTTACATGGATGGCAGCAGGCAAAGAGAGAGCTTGTGCAGGGAGACTCCAGGTTTTTCAAAACCATCAGATCTTATGAGACTTATTCACTATCACCAGAACAGCATGAGAAAGACCTCCCCTCATGATTCAATTACCTCACACTGGGTCTCTCCCACAACATGTGGGAATTCAAGATGAAATCTGGGTGGGGACACAGCCAAACCATATCACTCTGCCGCAGTACCTCCCAAATCTCATGTCCTCACATTTCAAAACCAATCATGCCTTCCCAACAGTACCCCAAAGTCTTAACTCATTTCATCATTAACTCAAAAGTCCACAGTTTAAAGTCTCATTCGAGGCAAGGCAAGTCCCTTCTGCCTATGAGCCTGTAAGATAAAAAGCAAGTTAGTTACTTCCTAGATACAGTGGGGGTACACGCATTGTGTAAATACAGCCATTTCAAATGGGAGAAATTAACCAAAACAAAGGGGCTACAGGGCCCATGCAAGTCCAAAATCCAGTGGGGCAGTCAAATCTTAAAGCTCCAAAATGATCTCCTTTGACTCCATCTCTCATATCTGGGTCATGGAGGTGATGCAAGAGATGGGTTTCCATGGTCTTGGGTATTGGGAAGTCCCACCCCTGAGGCTCTGCAGAGTACAGCCTCCCTCCAAGCTGCTTTCATGGGCTGGTGTTGAGTGTCTGCAGCTTTTCCACGCACATGGTTCAAGGTGACAGTGGATCTACCATTCTGGGGTCTGGAGGATGGCGGCCCTCTTCTCACAGCTCCTAGGCAGTACCCCAGTAGGGACTTTTGTGTCGGTACTCTGACCCCACATTTTCCTTCTGCACTGCTCCATAAGAGGCCCGCCCCGCCCCAGTAGGGACTCTTGTGTTGAGACTCTGACCCCACATTTTCCTTCTGCACTGCTACATGAGAGGCCCACCCCTGCAGCAAACTTCTGCCTGGACATCCAGGTGTTTCCACACATTCTCTGAAATCTAGGCGGGGCTTCCCAAACCTCAGTTCTTGACTTCTGTGCACTAGCAGGCTCAACACCATATGGAAGCTGCCAAGGCTTGGGGCTTGCACCCTCTGAAGCCACAGCATGAGCTCTACATTGGTCCTCTTTCAGCCATGGCTGGAGCAGCTGGGACACAGGGCACCAAGTCCCTAGGCTGTAGACAGCATGGGGACCTTGAGCCCAGACCACAAAACCACTTTTTCCTTCTATGCCTCTGGGCCTCTGTGATGGGAGGGGCTGCTGCAAAGGTCTCTGACATGCCCTGGAGACATTTTCCCCATTGTCTTGGGGAATAAGATTCTGCTCCTCATCACTTATGCAAATTTCTGTGCTGGCTTGAATTTCTCCCCAGAAAATGGGACTTTCCTTTCTATTGCATTGTCAGGCTGCACATTTTCCAAACTTTTATGCCCTTCTTGCCTTACAAAACTGAATGTCTTTAACAGCACCCAAGTCATATCTTGAATGCTTTCCTGCTTAGAAATTTCTTCTGCCATATACCCTAAATCATCTCTGTCAAGTTCAAAGTTTCACAAGTCTCTAGGGCAGGGGCAAAATGCTGCCAGTCTCTTGGCTAAAATGTAACAAGAGTCACCTCTGCTTCAGTTCCCAACAAGTTCCTCATCTCCACCTGAGACCATCTCATCCTGGACTCCATTGTTCATAACACTATCAGCATTTTTGTCAAAGCCATTCTTAAGTCTCTAGGAAGTTCCACTCTTTCCCACATTTACCTGTCTTTTTCTGAGTCCTCCAAACTGTTCCAACTCTTACCCAGTTCCAAAGTCACTTCCATATTTTCAGGTATCTTTTCAGCAACACCCCACTCTACTATATTTACTATATTTGCCCATTTTCACACTGGTGATAAAGACATACCTGAGACTGGGTAATTTACAAAAGAAGAGGTTTAATTGGACTTACAGTTCCATGTGACTGGAGAAGCCTCACAATCATGGTAGAAGGCAAGGAGTAGCAACTCTCATCTTACATGGTTGGCAGCAGGCAAAGAGAGAGCTTGTGCATGGAGACTCCCGTTTTTCAATACCGTCAGATCTCATGAGACTTATTCACTATCATGAGAAGAGCATGGGAAAGACCTGCCCCCATGATTCAATTAACTCCCACCGGGTCCCACCCACAACATGTGGGAATTCAAGATGAGACTTGGGTGGGGACACAGTCAATCGATACCATTAGGCATGAATCCATCATTTCCTTGCTACTGTGCCCTCCTCCAAGATAATAAAAATAAAACAAAACAACAAAAAACACAAAGGACAAGGCTGTAATAAATTTTATAATTAGAAATTGGACCCAACTCACCCATGGATGATGGAAGTCACCCAGAAACATAATCTTTCACAAAGCAAAGGGCACCCCAGATGCTTTTCCCCATCTAAATCTCCCTCAGATTCTCACACAGGGCTCTAGACACTCCCTTTTTCACACCTGTCATTGTGAATGATGAGTCTCCCACCACACGGCAATTACCACCCTTTGTCTCTTGAAAGTGTTTTATTTCTTAAATCTTTTTAAAATGTGTGGGAGGGTACTTGGTAATTTTTTTTCCTATGCTTGACTATTGGAGGTAGGTTACCTTTCAAATCTTTAAAAAATTGTTTTCAGGGTCATAATCTAAACTCAAGTTGAAGGAAAAAATACAAAACAATTTTGCCTGTTAATGGCAGGTTACCAAAAACTCTTGCCCTTGGAGTTAATGGGTCCTGATCATCTTTTGAAAAGCATTTGGTTTCTTCAATTTTCCACCAGGGCACTTACAACACGAAACACAAAAACTACTTTGGCTTGTGAAGGCTGCTTTCTTTGTCATCCTTGGGATTGTGTCAAATTAAAGTCTTTCTATTCATTGTCTCCCCCATCCCCACTCCATGGAGTGGGAGGCAGTGATTATAATCATCTGCTGCATTTTAATAGTAATACCTTACCTATTAAATTACATATCTAATTACATTACATTTACCAACACAAGATTTTATAAAAATTTAACCTAAGGCCAAAAAAGAAAACTCACGTACATTATCCTGCACAGACTCAAGCATATTTGCATCAACAACTCCACAGACAACCCGGTCCCTCCTCACCAAGTGTTATTTGGGTGTCCCTTCTCCAGGAACAATTTCCTGAAACTCCTCTACATGTTGCAGTAGATTGCATCCTACCAGTGTGCTGGAATGCTGTTTTTGCATTGCGCTCCCCTGTTATTACTAGGATTATAGACTTTACATCTACCATTACTCTTTCACTCCAAGCAGGGTATTGCCCTTCTCCAGTATATCTTTGGAAGGCCATCATGTTCTTTACTGTGAACCTCAGGAAAGCTTCTCTGTACCTGAGCTCCCTGTCTGTGTTCATCCTGTTGGCCCATGTTGTTTGCTTTTGAAATCTTTCTATGGTTTCTTTATGCATATGAAAGTAAATATCAATATACTCTTAATCTTCTAGACTAGGTAGTACATAATATGAAAGATCTCCAACCCAGCTTTTTCCACCTAACAATACATCTTGGAGACATAAGTGTCCATTTTTGCTTGGAAACTAAATTAAAAAAAAAAATCAGAATCTCTACTTGTGCAGTACCATGGCTCCTGGTAAACACCATAAAATGCTGTTTCCATTTGCTTTACTTTCAATCACTGTGTGCCTCCTAGAATTTGAGTTATAATTATTTTTAATTAAATGTGTGAAATTTTAAATGACTTAAATATAACAAAATTTAAGAACAGAAATATAACCTCATCTAGACATCAGTATTGATGAAGTAGAAAGAGGCTCAAGGAAATTTCAAGTTAAATCTCCCTCATTTATTGCTACTGAAAATTAAAATCTAAAATTCAAAAATCTAAGTTTGTTACTTTTTCTCCAGAAATGAACACTTTGCCAGAATATAAATGTTCTAATTCACTTGTTGAGAATTTTAGTATGAAAAAAGAAATGTGGTTGGGATATGAAATACTTGGCTTTATTAGATATGCATGGCAGTTATACATTGGAAATACTAGTTCATTCTTTTCCTTAGAAAAATAAAACAGTAGCCTGTTTTTCTGATCAAGAGAGTACTGTTTCTCACTAGCCTTTTAATAACAAGATTCTTGGTTGAACTAGAAAACTAGGGTCAGAAAACTCAGTTTAATCTGTTAAAATTTTTATAAATATTATGAAAAGATGGCAAAGTACTTAAAACGAATATCAATGATGCTTTATATATCTTTACTTAGCTATAATAGTTAACTGTAACAGTTCATTTTCATTTAGAATCTGTTTAATATAAACATTTCAAAAACTGCCTTTCTTGTAATTTTAACAAACTACCTGAAAGTGCTCTGTTGGAAATAAAATATATAAGAGGTTTGCTTTATTTTGTTTCTCATGCATTTCTGATTTTATGACATAACACGATTATTTCCTGCCTCAGGATACTACCTGGTCTCAGACATAGAATCCTTTAATTGTTTGAGAGACTGTGAGTAACGTTTTACCCTGTAAGATATAGTTGAGTAGACATTTTTCAACCTCTCTTCATACAATCTATGATTATGTGGTCTTACACAATGCATGGAACCTTCTTGTTAAAGCGCTATGAAACTGCCTGCTGATACACATGTCCTGATACCTTTTCCCCTAAAAGAATTTGACTCTAAAGTCTCTTGGCTTCTGTTTTGCTGTCCTAGGCTTCTTTGAAAACAGACAATAACAACAAAACTTATACTTCCACCTGCCATCTGCTTTCTTTCCTATTAGTAAAAAGCTGGAAACAAAATCAAACCTAAATTAGCTAGGATTTGGGGTAAGAAAAACTCTCAGTGAGAAAGTCATTAATACATATATTCTATGTATAAAATATGCTTCTCCATTTTACTTTGCTTAAAGTAGTGAAGTTCATTGTCTTTCACGTGCTTCAAGCAATTCAAAAGAATAGCATTACAAACTCAGTCTTCTGTGTTTACATTTAGCATAATAGAGAATTATGAATCATTTCCACTCAGTTGGTATATTTAATTTTCAAAAAATATTATAAAATGAAGTAACTATTAGTATAAAAATACCTTGAGATGACATTTGATTGCAGTGCAAGGTGTTTATTTTACTAAAGTACCTTGAACTAATTGCATTTATTTTTTATACATATGCCATTATAACCAACAATTCATCCTATTATAGTAATTTCACTTTTTCCCCCAAACTTGGGAGATAATCTGCATTTTCCTCTAAATTTTGGTAATGTTTCTTAATTATAAGGGAAATATTTCTTTGCCCTTACACCTCCCTTGTGGGAGAATGCTTTGATCTCTCTAGAAGTTTAATTGCATTTCATGGAATGGCTCCTCTTTGCAATTAGGTCTATACTTGTATGCTTCATGTGTTTTCTTTCATGTTTTTATTCAATCAATTCTGTGGCAAATTTTCTGTCTCACCAATGTTTCCTTTCATCTTAGTTTCTGGTAACAGTAACTTCTGAGTAGCTACATTCTTTCATCTGATAAAGATAGACTCTCTGATCATCCTTGAAGTATTTTGGAAAGTTTGTTTTTGATTACTTTAATTGTTCTTCCCTTATACAGATAGTTAATGAACAGTTCAAGTTAAGATATTGTCATATCTCTTGTTGGGTCCATTCTACTAGGAAAGTGATCATCATTGATAGGGCAAACATAGTCTTATGTTTTCCTACTCATTAAATAAAATGGGCTAGTTAAATGGTAGTGGAATTATTTGGCTTACTTTTCTGAAAACAAGAAAATAAGTTTTTTATCATGGTAAGTGGCAGACATCTGTCCAGATTTACATCCAAAGAGAGTATAGTAAAGTTTTAGCCAAATTATAACCTGCTTCTTGGTTTTCTTTCTCATGTTCATTCTGCAGTCTCCCCCAAAACTCAGTATTAGCATTATAGGTCTCTGATACTAAGATAGGAAAGGGCCAGGTATCTTGAGCAAAAAAGAAAGCAGCCAAATAAATGCAGTCCTGTGCACACTGTTTTGTCTCTTATACTAGCAAATCAATTATATTTACAAAATATGGTCTTATGTTTGGAAATGGGCCAAAAGTTTCATTAGCAATTCTGAATAAAGGTTTAATGATCCCAGAGATTACCAGTAATGTTGGAGAGTCAATTTGTATCTCAGTTTCTCCATCTATAAAGATGAAAGAAAGAAACCCAGCCATAATATCCAATTACCTTCGAGATACATACATTGGCCAAGGTTTCAGAGATGTGTATAAAAAGGGCTTTTCAGGTGTCTGAAATTAACTTGTTTAGTAATGTTTTACACCAAATAAATGCTCAACCACTAAAGTACTCAACTGTAGCTAATTTATTCAGTTATTCTTTTATTTGTTTATTCACCAATCTCTTCAAAAATATTTGTTAAGCCAGAAATTATACTAAGAAATTATACTTAGCACTGTAGATACAGAACTGAACAAGAAAGACAAAGTCTGAGCTCTTGGTGTAGCTTATATTCTACTTGAAGACTGAGGGGAAAACAAATGTAAAAGTGTATTGTGATAGTAACTGAGTGGTGGTGCTCTTTAGAGTAAATGATCCAAGAAATCCTCTTTGAGAGGGTAAAATTTGGGTCCATCTGAAGTAACAGAGAGTTGTCCAGGCAGAGAAGCATCAAGCAATAGCCCTGAAGGGGAAAAGAGCTTATTCAGTTAAAAAAAAAAAAAAAAAAGAAGACGACGACCAAGATGGTTTAAGGGTAGTGCATGAGATAGACAGTAGTATGAGATGAGGTTTTAGAGGCGCAAAGGGATGTATCGTGTCCATCTTAGAAAACACAATAAAGACTTCAGGATTATTCTAACTATAATAGGACACTTTTGTAGAGTTAAGCACGGGTGTCATGATCTAATCTGATTGTCTGCTGTGTAGACAATGAATTCTAGGAACACAGAACAGAAACAAAGGCAATGGGTAGGAGACTCCTGAAGTCGTGTGAGTGGGCAGGGATGTCAGCTGCAGAGTTGGTAACCAGAGCTTGGATTTGTGGTATATTAGAGATGAAGCTTAAAGGCCTCATTATACCTTAGACTTAAGGAGAGATGAGAAAGAAAGAGGAATCAAGATCACATCGAGATTTTCTTGCTTGAACAACTGGGTAATAGTTGGTGGTGTTTACTCAGATGAGGAGATAGAATTAGGAAGGGCAGAAGGGCAGTGCATCAAGAGTTTAATTTTAACCCTGTTGCCTTAAAGCTGCCTGTTAGACACCTAAATGCTGATGTCAAGTATACAGCTGTATATACGAATATGGCAGTCTGGTCAAGGCTGAAAACACACATTTAGCAGTAATAACCACATAGATGGAATTGCAAGTGCGGAAAGGATCACTCAATAGGAAAAAAAAAAAAAAAAAAGATTGCCCAGAACAGAGTCCTAGGTCTTTCCAATATACACAGGCTGAACAGAGGGGAAAGAGCCAAGCAAGGAGACTCAAGTTAGAGAGTAAACAGGAGCGTATCATAACCTATAATTCACAGTATAAAGTTTCAAGAGAAGGGACGTGGATGACCGTTTAAAATGCTTCTGCGGCAAGATGACAGACGTAGAGCAGAAGAAGCGGACCTTCCGCAAGTTCACTTACCGCGGTGTGGGCCTGGACCAGATGCTGGACGTGCCCTACGAGCAGCTTATGCAGCTATACAGTGCGCGTCGGCAGCAGCGTTTGAACCGGGTCTGGGGCGGAAACAGCACTCGCCGCTGAAGCGCCTGCGCAAGGCCAAGAAGGAGGTACCGCCCATGGAGAAGCCGGAAGTGGTGAAGACGCACCTGTAGGACATGATCATCTTGCCTGAGATGATGGGCAGCATGGTGGGCGTCTACAACGGCAAAACCTTCAGCCAGGTGGAGATCAAGCCGGAGATGATCGGCCACTACCTGGGCGAGTTGTCCATCACCTACAAGCCCGTGAAGCACTGCTGGCCCCGCATTGGGGCCACCCCTTCTTCATCCTCCTCAAGTAGTGGCTTAGCTAATAAAGGCACATCTATCTCAAAAAAAAAAAAAAAAAAAAGCTTCTGAAAGATCAGGGAGATAAGAATTTTCCAAGGTAGAAGTTATTGTTGGTTTTGATCAAGCCGGTTTAAAGGTGTGAATTGGGATGAAAACCCAAGGTGATGAGGAGTAGTTAGAAGCAGGGGGCACATTTTTATGCAGCTGCATCTCCATAGTTACCATTAATGCTCATTAGCATTTTAAGAATTAATTCCTAACCTCGGATTTTTAATTTCTTTTGTTTGTTTTGGGGGCATTTATTTGTCAACTATCTATTCCACTTATTTCATGTGCAAAGCACCGTCCTAGACTCTTGGAATTTTTATTAATGAGTAAGGCAAGCGAAGATCCTTGCCTTCAGGTACCTTGCCTTCTAGTGGAAGAGACAAACACAAAACAATAAAAATAGTAAATAACTATGTCACATAGGTGAGAAAAAAATGTGAAATACAGCAGAGTTAAGAAAACCCCTCAGTCCTGGGGCTGCAATTTAAATAAGGTGGTCATTGTAAGCCTCATTAAGATGATGATGTTTGTGCAAAACATTGAAGAAAGTAAGAGTTCAGTTAAGTGGTTACCTGGAGGAAAAGCATTCCAGATAGAGGACATTGCTGGTGCAAAAGTCCTGGGGCAGAGGAGTAACAGGGAGGTCACAATGACTCCAAAGTGATGTGAACAAGAGGATCAGTTGGGAAAGAAGGTTATGGGGTCAGCACGGGCCACCTTAGGGACTCTTAAAAATTTTGAATGAGATGGAGAACAATGAATTTCAGAATTCTGAGAAGGCAGTGACATGATTTGTCTTACCTGACAATAAATCAGCCAAGATATAATGGTGCTTTGGATCAAGGTAAAAGTAGAAGTGACGAGAAATAATGGAGTCTGCAAACATTTCAACAGCGAAACTGATAGGATTGTTTCATACATCAGCTGTTAGGTATAATAGAAAGAGAATAGTTGAGGATGACTACAGGGATATTGAACTAAAGTCTTGGAGGATACAGCTGCCAACAGTTGAGAGATTAAAGTGGCAGGTGAAATAGTTTTAGGGATTCATGCTACTTAAGATGAGACAGTCCAGTGGAGATGTAGTTTGTTACCTTGCACAGTGACTGTTAAGAGTTTCCAGAACTATGATAAATCTATTAATGCTACTTGCTCAGCTTTACTTAAAGCCTTTTAGGTAAGTCCCTCAAATATACCAGATCAAGTCAAGTTCCCTATGGGGAACGTCAGAACAAACAAAACTGTAAATACCCGCAAATCTATAGACCAAGAACACATCATGGGTGATGCTAATAGAGGAGGCTAACCAGGCATATTAATAGTTTGACTTACCCAGACTAAATGTTTTAGAACTTTAAGCCTCATATTTTAGATCCCTAGGGTAGAGCAAAACTCAATTCAGTCTTTTCCTTATAATTTATGCATCAAGTCTACATATTGAGTATTAAAAAATGGGAGCGAGAGAGGGTTATCACCAAATAATAACACAACAACAATGTTATCAACAAATGGCAAAACTCGACACGGTATCATATGTTGGCAATCAAAAGATCTCCTTGACCCAGTTTATCTTTGGCAAATATCTCTCTGTACGTGTCTCTCATAAACTATGACAAGGGCCAAGAGATAATGACAGGCACAGTCAATCCTTCAGAAAACTACAAGTTTTAAGAACAAACAGGAAAATGGGCAATAACTATACCGCTGATATGAAGTATCCGATGTAATTAATGATTGCCATCACATGTTCCCTATTAGCCTGACTTGCATCAGCACAAGGAAAAGTTCAGGGTCTAAGAGCTAATTGGGAAAAATATCACTAAGCTTTAGGGTCAGTTAATTAACAGTCAAGTCATATTTTTCATGGATTAAGTCAGGCTCTTCCTTTTGACCTCATTTAATTGCTGCTTTTAAAGACCACTGGAACAGTACTCTTGCGTACATAAAACATATTGAGATTCATCTGTTCTCCTGAGGTGTGATGAGACAAGAACTTTAAAACACTGGGGTGGAAGTGTAAATTGGCATAATCTTTGTGGAAAGCAATAGATATTGTGTATTATGTGGCAATACATATTACTGTGTAATAATACATGTGTGGCAATACATATTTAGTGGCATAGAAATGGTGGTACTTTTACCATACTTATAAGGTTCTTCCTATGGAAATGTGGATAATGATTAACATATAAGTGTGTTTATCACAGCACTATTTATAACAGTAAAAACGTGGAACCCTAAAGGCCAAAAATTAAAGAAGTCCTCAAATAAATTACAATTCATTGGCATATTACATAATACTAAAAAGGGAAAATACAGAAAATGAATGACATAAGAACATCTTTATGATTTAAAGTTGAAGTTCATTGAAGCAGCATGTGAAAGTTTAAATATGCATTATATAAAAATATTTTTGCATACTTCTTAGACATACAGAAATGGAATACAGACATAGTAATTATTTCTGCATTGTAGATAATGGGTTCTGATTAATTTTGCCAATTTTCTTGGTTTTCCATGTTTCTTTTAATAATCTCCAAGTAATTATTTTATAAACAGAAACATAATACCACCTGTTCTTTAGCAAACAAAGTTGTAAGCCTTTCAGTTTCGTTTTTCTACCTCTTCAGTTTTTGGTCACTTTAGGAAAAAAATAAATCTGGTTGTAATTTCTGTTTTCTTATGAACCTAGTACTCATCAGGAAAAATGAGTTTAATTCTTATGAACACATTTCATCGTAATTCTTGGGCTAGATATTGTTATAGCTTATGGTCCATTCCAGGGAGCAAATTTAGATGCTAAAACTTATGAATGTTTTGTTTTAAAATTTCTTTGAATTAGAAATTAGAGAAGGTTTTTCTATTTTCATCATTTGATAGTATAAAATAAATAACTTTAATTGCTTGTAGCAAACAAAAATATTTAATTTTGGATATAATATTTCATGTATTTTGTATGTAATATATTTTGAATAAAAATATACCTTAATTTTTATTTTCTTTATGAGAATAATAACAATTATAATTTTCTAAAATATAGAAAGAAAACATTTATCTTTTTGGTATCAATATTGAATCACTGTGATTCTTGTCTCCACTATGAAATATATGATATAATTTCTCAGCAAACATGATAACTAAAAGGCTAATAAAACTTTAATTTTCAAATAAGTGAAGGTGCAGCCAGGTTCAGCCATGAGGCTCTGAAATACTTTTTGCTTGTTAGGATAAAATCAAATTGTCACAATCTGTCACCAATTCTACTGAGAAGCAAATACAACTACCTGTTGACAGATGGAGCTGTGCTGATAAAATCCATCACATAAATATTTCTGCATATTTCTGAAGAAAAAAGATGTTGCCATTTTTAATAAGCATTTAAATAAGGGCAATTTGTCATTTCAAACAATAAAAGCATTTCTTTAATAATGTAAATAAAGGGATATCTTGGCAAATACAAAATCACCTCCATCTGAGAGAACTAATTTATATTTAGAAAAGTACCTATATTTATTTCCACTTTTCATAGTTAGCACTTAAATAGAGCCAAATATTTTAATGACCAATGACTATGATGTCCTTCTATTGAACATTTCCATTCCTCTTCCTAAAATGCAAATTATGTATTGATTTTTAAGGGGCTGAATGCCTTAAAAATCTGTACTTAGTACAGTATTTTAAAACGTTGAAAGCACAACTTAATCAAAAATTGCCCACACAAAGAACTAACATTTATTAACTGATTTGACCTTAAGCTTATTAGCACTGCTGGCAATAATGAATCCATCTGCTAAGACAGCAATTCTTACATCTATACACAATTCCGATTCATATTAATCCTGACAGAGTCATGTCTGTTTCAATGTGATCTTCAAAATCATCTGAGAGGGCTTGAATGCATTTAGATTTCTGGGCCCCACATTGTAGCTACTGAAGTAGAATCTCTGAAAGTGAAGCTCTGGGAATCAACTTTTCTCATGCCCCTCAGGCATGAGAAATTATATAGACATTAAGTTGAACAAAATACAGTAGGCCGGTATTTGGATATGCTTTGTAAGAAATGAATAAACTGTAATTTTCAAATGACAGTAAATTATTTTAAGCCTACCTACCTATCTATGGTGACTTTTTTTTAGAAGACTTTATTTTCTTAGAGCAGTTTTAGGTTCGCCACAAAACTGAGAGAAAGACACAGAGATTTCCCATATGTCCCTTGCCCTGATACATGTATAGCCTCCTCCATTATCAACATCCCCATCCAAAGTGGTACATATATTACAATTGATGAACCTACATCGACATGTCATTATCACCCAAAGTCCATAGTTGCTATGGGGATTTAATCTAGGTGTTGTACAGGGGTGTGGCAAATGTATAGTGACATGTATCTACCATTAGAGTATCACACAGAGTATTTTCACTACCCTAGGAATCCTCTGTGCTTTACCTATTCATTCCTCCTTCCCCCTTCACCACTGGCAACCACTGATCTTTTTCCTGTCTCCATGGTTTTGCGTTTTTCAGAATGTCATGTAGTTCAAATCATACAGTAAGTAGCCTTTTCAGATTGGCTTCTTTTACTCACTAATATACATTTAAGGTTCCTTTATGCCTTTTCATGACTTGATAGCTCAAGCTTGTTAGCTTTCTTTTAGTGCTAAATAATAGTCCATTGTCCCCACCAGTTGACAATATACCCATGTAACCAAAAAGCACACGTAACCCCTGAATCTGAAATAAAATTTTGAAAAATAATAATTAAAATGTCCATTGTCTAGATGTACCACAGTTAATCCATTCATTCACTGAAGAACATCTTGGTTGCTTCCAAATTTTGGCAACTGTAAGGCTGCTATTAAACATTCATATGCAAGTTGTATGTAGATACATATTTACTTTTATTTTGACTATTTGTAACATCTATGGATAAAATGTGTTTTCAATAATAATTTTACTACTACTAGTTCTAATTATCTAATAATAAGTTTTCAAATATCTTGAGATCTTGAGCTATAGAAACACAATATGCCCCCCCTTCCATGGGCAGATG
The DNA here is from genome assembly GCF_000001405.40 of Homo sapiens. NCBI lineage: Eukaryota > Metazoa > Chordata > Mammalia > Primates > Hominidae > Homo > Homo sapiens. The sequence goes on from NC_000015.10 coordinate 37,496,205, forward strand.
CATTTTCAGAAGATACCATGTTGGTAATGAATAAGATGCCTTTGGTGATTCTGAGACCACTCTTCCTCAAAAGAATTCCACAGACACTGGCTGGCCTCAGACATTCAACAGTGCTGAGGACACTTTTTTTCTGGCATAATATCTTTGTGATTGTGCCCATGTGCCATATTCATTAAGGCTATAAGATATTAGATATTAGAACAAGGAAGGGCTAGGAAAATATTAAGGATATGTGTTCTCTTGCATGGATGTGAATGGTTTTCTGGGCATGCAATCTCTCTATTCATTTTCCCATTTCCTCAAGATTATGCTAAATTGAGTAAACAAAAGTGAAAGGAAAGAATCACTCTCCCAAACACTCCAAAACTGAGAAAAAAATTATTTTGAAGGTGATAGTGAAGAGGGTATTTTAGAAAACCAGTACATCTCTGTACGTTTGCATTCCTATGACTAATTTTAACTTAGAAGTTCCAATATGCCAGGGCCAATCTTCATTGGTATGGTATTTAATCCTAACCACCTAAGGCAAGCATTTAATAGGTATGTTTCAGACCAGAATACCACTAAGCACTGTTTTGCACTATGACTTAACATTTCTTGTAGTTCAAAATCACTATTTTTCTATAGAAACTTGGGATATAACACATCTCTACATTCATAAAGTATATAAATGGTTTCTTCTCGCATACCACTCTTCAATTTTCCTTTGGAAAATCTGATGCTCATATTTTCATGCAAGCATTATTTACTTTTTGATTGAAAACACAAAGTCATTTCTATTTATGAACACTTTCTTGTAATAAAACCTGGCATTTCTCATCACTACAATTCGCAGTCTACTTTTATAAAATTTAATGCATGTCAAAAATGTGCATGGTCTGGAAAATAAAAAGACAAAGAAGGAAACTTCTATATATCAGTAAATGTCATAAATGGGCTTATCAAGGAAAGAATTCTAATAATCTAGACCTAGCCTGTAGAATATGGTAGCTGTTAACAACATGTGGCTATTGAGCACTTGAAATGTTCAAATTATAATGAGCTATAAGTAAAAAATACACACACGACTTTGAAGACATGTAAAAATTGATAAAATACCACATTAACAACGTTTTGTATTGGTTACAAGATGAAATGATAATATTTTGGATAGGATGTTTAAATAAAATATGCTGTTAAATTGATTTCACTTGATTTTTGTGTTTTTAAAATTTTCTTACTTTTTTCATGACATGGTTACTAGAAAATTTAAAAATTATATATATGGCTCACAATCTATTTCTATTGGAAAGGACTGATCCAGATTAATAAATGTACTGCCATTGTTCCATGTAGTAATTGGTATTGGGAATATTGGAGATTATTATATTGTTTGGTAGTGGGAGGGTTTCTATAGAAACTCTTCTATCAACTGGTTTTAGGTGGATTAGCTGGCCTAATTAAATCTAAGCTGTTAAAAGAGCCCCAGAGGAAGGAGGGGGAAGGAAATGGGACTCCAACAAGCTTTCCGAGTCCTCAAGTCACACACTCCTGGTTGACTGGTCTGCTTAGCCAAGCTAAAACTGGTCTTATTGTCATGTTGGGCACATTAATTGGAAAGCAGATTAATTTGCAAGAATGAGTTAGTGCCCTTTAAAAGGTGATTTAAAATTCAAAATGATGGAAATGGAATAAAAGCATGCTTGTCTGATCATTCCTCAGAGTCCATCTTGAAATCCCTACCATTTTTCTATTTTCATTGTTAGAATTCAAGTACAGGATAAACTGTTTAAGAGATTCCCAAACATTACGCTCTACACCTTAGCACCAATAATTACCCTTCTGTGAAAGACAGACGGGGAATTTTTGTCATCAGACACATGGGGATTATAAGTGAAAATAAAATCTGCAGGTTTAGTCAGTTTTCCACATATGCAAATGAAACATAAATATCACTGCAATACCATCAAATATATTTGTGACTGAATGGAGAGATTTTTGCCTTTAGTGAACTAGAAGCTTACAAGGAATTTGAGAAAGCATCATCACCTCTAATATAGCGCTACCACAGTCTAATATAAGACTAATATGAAGTTATATTTATGCTCATTTTATAGTTATGGATAACTTTATGTCCATTATAAACATTTAATCCTTACAAATAAGAATGACATTGGCCGGGCGCGGTGGCTCACGCTTGTAATCCCAGCACTTTGGGAGGCCGAGGCGGGCGGATCACGAGGTCAGGAGATAGAGACCATCCTGGCTAACACGGTGAAACCCCGTCTCTACTAAAAATACAAAACAAATTAGCCGGGCGTGATGGTGGGCGCCTGTAGTCCCAGCTACTCGGGAGGCTGAGGCAGGAGAATGGCGTGAACCCGGGAGGCGGAGCTTGCAGTGAGCCGAGATTGCGCCACTGCACTCCCGCCTGGGCCACAGAGCGAGACTCCGTCTCAAAAAAAAAAAAAAAAAAAAAAAAAAGAATGACATTATAATTTCCATTTTGAAGACAAAAAAATAGATACTCAGAAAAGTGAAGTTAATTATCCAGCCACTTGCAGTTGAATTTTTTGACTGTATATCTTCCTGTATCACAGCTAGGAAGCAAAAACTGTATTGCCAGCCCAAAGACCAAACCTGGAGCTTTTAGGCAAGGCCTGGTAAATATGAATGATATAAAGGAAAAAATGGGTGTGACTCTACTATGGAAAACAGTGTATTTAAATAATGTATCCTTAATTTTGGAATTTACAGAATATGAACTTGGAGAGTTGTTCATTTTTTTAGGTATCATGCATATACTTCTCATTATATGGTATAACAAAACCACATCTTACTATCATTTGATAAAGCAATCTGTGTCAATTTTAATTCCATAACCTGAGATCTTTGGCCCAAAGGAGGTAATAACATAAGAGCAAGAGTTCCAAGTAATCATTTTTCGTTACTAATTTATCAGAAGTCCTCACACAAAATATATAAAAATGGCACAATCTTAGAAGAAAAAGCCTTAAGTACTAAGTGGGAGTTTTGTAAAAACGGAAGTAAGCTACAAGTTTACCAAAGCTAATTGATACCTTTCATGTAAATCTATTTATATCATAGCTTTAAGTGGCTAACATGGTGAAACCCTGTCTCTACTAAAAATGCAAACAATTAGCCAGGCGTGGTGGCAGGCACCTGTAGTCCCAGCTACTCAGGAGGCTGAGGCAGGAGAATGGTGTGAACCCAGGAGGCAGAGCTTGCAGTGAGTCGAGGTAGCGCCACCGCACTCCAGCCTGGGCAACAGAGCAAGACTCCGTCTCAAAAAAAAACTAAATAAATAAGATAAAAATAAATAAATCAAATTCAGTACAACTTCTTAAATGTTGTCTTTAATAAAGAAAATTAAAAACCAATCAAAGCCAAGTTATAAACAAACTAGATAAAATCCACACACTCAAAGTATGTACTGGCCTTAACATACCTGGATTCAAATCCAACAGGATGACTTTGTCTTTGGTCACTAGCTGTTAATATATTCTGTATCCTGTGACTATTCAGCTATAGCTTATTGAATGAAATAACAAATGGCTGAAAGAAGAAATGAATGGCTGAAAGGTGTACTAGTGTGTACATGTACTTACACTTGTTTTTCCACACAACATTGATAGTTGCAGGGCTCCAGCCACATGTTTGCACTGAACCTTCTCTACAATAGGTTGCTGGCATTCAGCAAGTAGTACAAGAAGGGGCTAAGCATAAGAGCCTTCCTCTGTGCCAAACTGAGTTGTCATTTCAAAAATTAAACTCACAATTCTGGCTTTATCAGCACTGTCAGTCTAAACAAACCAGAAAGACCCATTTCCCAAAGTAGAAAACCATCAGTATCAGAGAGAAAATTGACACTTCATAATCCAAAGAGATAACATTGGGCCTAATAATGCTTCATCCCCGTACCCCTGTGTTTAGTTAACATGCCTTCTTCCCAGTTTGTCAGACATCAGACCATAATACAGTGGCTTTGGACTCATAAATACCTGGCAATGTAGCTCAGAATATGAGCCATACAGCTGGCTTGATTTTATATATATTTAACAATTTTATTAAATATTGAATGTATATCAAAGAATATTTATAAAGTATATTTAAAAATTTATAAAACTCACACTCGGGCATTCCAGATGATGAATACAGAGTGAAATGTTCTTCCTCTTTTAGATCCATGAAGTACAGGAATTTGAGATTGAGCCAGAATGAAAGAATGCATCTGTTAAAGCAATAGTTGACCAACATGTCTGGCTACTTCTGGTTCAATTTCTGCCTTAGTTCCGCTCAACACATGAAAAAGAATGGGTTGGAACAGAAAGTGGGCCCAATTTCACTATAAGTAAGCTATAACTACAGGGCACACAATTTAGAATGTTGAATGCCACATCCTCCCTTACTTGTGTCATTCAACACATGGATTTTAGGCTTAGTAGCTGCAGGGGGGCTTTGCACTGTACTTGGTGCCCAGAAGCCTCAGTCTCATCCTAATCCATTCCTCTTCTGATTTCTGGCATGAAGAGGTAGGGAATAAGGAGAGGTAGACCACTCTCCAATAAAAAATTTGCATGGTTTTTTTTTGTACAGAATCAGAATTATTCTACTATTACTTCCTACTTCAAAGCATTTCAGATTGATAGCAAGTTTTATCAATTTTTATTTACAGTGAAGTTTGTATTTTTGGAAAAATAAACATTAAAGAGGCAAAATTGGTGGCTTTATCCCTTTATTTATCATGCATATTAAATATACTCAATGCTTACTAGCCTTTGGGCACATTAACACATATGCCAGAGAGAAAGACAGACTCTGCCATTACAGTTTACACTTTGGTAGACAATAAAAAACCAAATCATAGTCATAGACCTCTCCTAGGAATTCTTTCTTACTTCTTTCTGTCCATCAGTATGTGAATTTCTATAATATTAGCTCTATAATATTAGCAGCAAGTTGTAGCTCCCTGAGAAGAAGGGCCCCTATTGTTCCTCCAGGTGGAGATGATGAGACGGGATCCTTCTGAGGAATATAATTCTGGAAGAGAAGTCAGTGACCCCAGGATACCTGACACAGATAGCCTAGCTGTAGGTTGTATATGCCAGATGCAAGGACACTTGCAAGTTTAACCAGTTTGCTGTTGAGGGCCAGGTTTGGGGAAAATGTGCCTTCTCAGAAAAAACTCTCCTGACTCTCTAATAATTTATTGAACCAAATATGCCATCAATTGTAAAATGCACTACCAAATTAAAAGCAGATAAATGGCAATTTTCTAAAACAAATATTAAAATGGAAAACTATAAATCGGACTAACTGAATTTTAGAGTTGAATATCTAGTCCTTTATATTATATTCTACAATAATTCAATTAATTTTACATATTGTAACCATTTCTGTATTTCTTTATTGCTTTTTCTATATGCCAAGATAAACAAGTATATATTTGGGAACTATAAAATATTTGAAAATGTGTTCTATATATACAATATTTTACAAATATGATCATATTTTAAAACTTTTTAAGCAATCCATAACCAGGTAAGTAGGTTAGTTTTCTTGATAATATTCCCAATTTGGCAAATATTATTGAATTTAAAAATAATATGAGGAAGAAGTAACAACATATTTTTCAGTATCCAGTTGGTGTCAAGCACCAACAAGTAAAAACTCTGTCTACAATGTTCTGAGTTTAAAGTAGTTCTGGAAATACATTGGTAAATAAGACAGAAATTATCTCTCCTTTAAAGGTCATGATCTTTTCTTAAAAGAAAAATTTCAGTGGAGCCAAGATGGCCAACTAGGAGCAGTGGTGATTGCAGGCTCCCATCGATAAGATCCAAAACAACATGTGAATCCTGCACCGGCAACCGAGGTATCCAGATTTTGTCATTAGAACTGACTAGGTGGCTGGCATGACTCATGGAGAGGAAGGAAGAGCAATGTGGTGCAGGCAGCCCACCTGAGAGCCACACGGGGCAGGGGAGCCCCCACACCCAGCCAAGGGAGTCGCTCTGAGAAATCTGGGCAGCCCAGATGAGTGGGTTCCCCAACCAGTGTAGCCCACGCCCTCCACCAAGGGAGAGCCAAAATGCCTCATTAAATGAGTCCTGCTTCCTGTGCCATCCAACTGGGTGAGAACCCACCAACAGGGGTTGTCAGACATCCTATACAGGAGCATTTCTACTGGCATCATGTTGGTGCCCTTTGAGGCCAGAGATCCCAAGGGAAGGAGCAGGCAGCCATCTTTGCTGTTCTCCAGCCTCCTCGAGTGACAACTCTAGATGAGTAAGGCCTGAAGAGAATCTCCAGGAAACCACAGCAGCCCTACAGAAGAGGGATCTGACTACTGAAAGAAAAACAGAAAGCAACAACAATAGCATCAACAACAAAAAAAGTCCCCATGAAAGCCTCATCAAAGGGTCAGCAGCCTGAAAGAGCAAAAGTAGACAAACCCATGAAGATGAGAAAGAATCAACAACAACACACACAAAAACCATTGAAAACCCACAAGGCCAGAGTGCCTCTCCTCCTCTAAATGATCACAATACCTCTCCGGCAAGGGCACAGAACTGGACAGAGGATGAGATGGATGAATTGACAGAAGGTCAATTCAGAAGGTGGGTAATAACAAACTGTGCTGAGATAAAGGAGCACGTTCTAACCCAGTGCAAAGAAGCTAAGAACCTTGATAAAAGGTTAGAGGAGCAGCTGTGAACTAAAATAACTAGTTTAGAGAGGAACATAAATGACCTGATGGAGCTGAAAAATGCAGCATGAGAACTTTGTGAAGCATACACAAATATCAGTAGCTGAATTGATCAAGCAGAAGAAAAAATATCAGAGATGGAAGACTATATTGCTGAAATAAGGCAGGCAGACAAGATTAGAGAAAAAAGAATGAAAAGGTATGAACAAAACCTCCAAGAAATATGGGACTATGTAAAAAGACTGAACCTACAACTGATTGGAGTACCTGAAAGAGACGGAGAGAATGGAAACAATCTGGAAAATACACTTCAGGGTATTATCCAGGAGACTTCCCCAACCTAGCAAGACAGGCCAACATTCAAATTCAGGAAATACAGAGAACCCCAGTAAGGTACTCCATGAGAAGACCAACCCAAAGAAACATAATCATCAGGTTCTCCAAGGTCAAAATGAAGAAAAAAATGTTAAGGGCAGCCAGAGAGAAAGCCCACATCACCTACAAAGGGAAGCCCATCAGACTAATAGCAGATTTCTCAGCAGAAACCCTACAAGCCAGAAGAGAATGGGAGCCAATATTCAACATTCTTAAAAAAAAAAAAGAATTTTCAACCCAGAATTTCATATCCAGCCAAACTAAGCTTCACAAGTGAAGGAGAAATAAAATCCTTTTCAGACAAGCAAATCCTGAGGGAATTCATCACCAGCAGTCCTGCCTTACAAGAACTCCTGAAGGAAGCACTACATATGGAAAGGAAACACCAGTTCCAGCCACAGCAAAACATAGGAAAATATGAAGACCAATGACACTATGAAGAAATGGGATCAACTACTATGCAAAATAACCAGCTAGCATCATGACGTCAGGGTCAAATTCACACATAACAATATTAACCATATATGTAAATGGGCTAAATGCCCCCAATAACAGACACAGACTGGCCAATTGGATAAAGAGTCAAGAACCATCAGTGTGCTGCATTCAAGAGACACATTTCATGTGTAAAAACACAGATAAACTCAAGATAAAGGGATGAAGGAAAATTTACAAAGCAAATGGAAAGCAGAAAAAATCAGGGGTTGCAATCCTAGTCTCTGACAAAGAGACTTTAAACCAACAAAGATCAAAACATACTACAAAGACGAGCATTACATAATGGTAAAGGGATCCATGCAACAAGAAGAGCTAACTATCCTAAATATATGTGCACCCAATACAGGAACACCCAGGTTCATAAAACAAGTCCATAGAGACCTACAAAAAGACTTGGACTTCCACACAATAATAGTGGGAGACTTTAACACCCTACTGTTAATATTAAACAGATGAATGAGACAGAAAATTAACAAGAATATTCAGGACTTGAACTCAGCTCTGGATCAAGTTTACCTAATAGATATCCACATCACTTTCTACCCCAAAACAACAGAATATACATTCTTCTCAGTGCCACATGGCACTTACTGTAAAATAGACCACATATTTGGAAGTAAAACACTCATCAGCAAATGCAAAAGAACTGAAATCAAAGAAACAGTCTCTCAGACCACAGTGCAATCAAATTAGAACTCAGGATTAAGAAACACTCAAAACCACACAACTACATGAAAATTTAACAACCTGCTCCTGAATGACTCCTAGGTAAATAATGAAATTAAGACAGAAATCAAGAAGTTCTCTGAAACCAATGAGAACAAAGAGACAACATACCAGAATCTCTGGGATGCAGCCAAAGCAGTGTTAAGAGGGAAATTTATAGCACTAAATGCCCACATCAGAAAGCTAGAAAGATCACAAATCAACACCCTAACATCACAATTAAAAAAAAAAAAACTAGAGAAGCAAGAGCAAACAATTCCAAAAGCAGGCATAAGACAAGAAATAACTAAAACCAGAGTGGAACTGAAGGAGATAGACACGAAAAAATCCTTCAAAAATCAATAAATCCAGGAGCTGTTTTTTTTAAAAAATTAATAAAAAAAAGACTACTGTTTAGAATCATAAAGAAGAAAAGAGAGAAGAATCAAATAGATAAATAAAAAATGATAAAGGGGATATCACCACTGACCCCACAGAAAAAGAAACCACCACCAGAGAATACTATAAACACCTCTATGCAAATAAACTAGAAAATCTAGAAGAAATGGATAAATTCCTGGACACATACAACCTCCCCAGACTAAATCAGGAAGAAGTCAAATCCCTGTATAGACCAATAACAAGTTCTGAAATTGAGGCAGTAATGAAAAGCCTATCAACCAAAAAAGCCCAGGACCAGGCAGATTCACAGCCAAATTCTATCAGAGGCACAAAAAGGAGCTGGCACCATTCTTTCAGAAGCTATTCCAAACAATTGAAAAGGAAAGACTCCGCCCTAACTCATTTTATGGGGCCAGCATCATCCTAATACCAAAACCTGGCAGAGACACAACAACAAAAAAGAAAACTTCAGGCCAATACACTTGATGAACATTGATGCAAAAATCCTCAATAAAATACTGGCAAACCAAATCCAGTAGCACATCAAAAAGCTTATCCACCACAATCAAGTCAGCTTCATCTTTGGGATGCAAGGCTGGTTCAACATATGCAAATCAATAAACATAATCTCACACCAATCTGAATGGCTACTATTAAAATAATATTAGTTATAGGCAGGGCTATGGAGAATAGGGAATACTTATACACTCTTGGTGGGAATGTAAATTAGTTTGGCCACTGTGGAAAGCAGTTCAGAGATTTCTCAAAGAAATTAAAACAACTACCATTCAACCCAGCAATCCCATTATTGCAATATATACCCAAAAGAAAACAAATTATTCTACCAAAAGATACCTGCACTCACATGTTCATCACAGCATTCTTCACAATAGCAAAGGCATGGAATCAACCCAGGTGCCCCTCAATGGTGGATCAAATAAAGAAAACGGGGTACATATACACTGTGGAATCCTAAGCAGCCATAAAAAAGTATGAAATTATGTCTTTTACAGTAACATGGATGGATCTGGAGGCCATGATCCCTAGCAAATTAATGCAGGAACAGAAAACCAAATACCACATATTCTCACTTATAAGTGGGAACTAAAAGTTGGGTACTTATGGACACACACATGACAACTGGAGACACTGAGGACAACTAGAGCAGGGAAAATAAAGGGGTCATGGGTTGAAAAACTGCCTATTGGATACCATGCTAACTACCTGGGTGATGAGACTCATACCCTAAACCTCAGCATCACAGGGTATAGCCATGTAAAAAAACCTGCACATGTATCCCCTGTATCTAAAATAAAACTTGAATTTTAAAAAATATTTTAATTATTAAGTTCCAGGATACATGTGCAGAACGTGCAAGTTTGTTACTTGGGTATATGTGTGCTATGGTGGTTTGCTGCACCTATCAACCTATCACCTAGGTTTTAAGCCCCACATGCATTAGTTATTTGTCTTGATGCTCTCCTTCCCCTTACCCACCCCCACACGATAGTCCCTGGTGTGTGTGTTCCCCTCCTTGCATCCATGTGTTCTCATTGTTAAACTCCCACTTATGAGTGAAAACATGTGGAGTTTGGTTTTCTGTTTCTGTGCTAGTTTGCTGAGGATGATGATTTCCAGCTTCATCCACGTCCCTGCAAAGGACATGATCTCATTCCTTTTTGTGGCTGCATAGTATTTCATGGTGCATATGTGCCACATTTTCTTTAACTACTCTATCGTTGATGGGCATTTGGGTTTGTTCCTTGTCTTTACTATTGTGAATAGTGCTGCAATAAACATACATGTGCATGAATCTTTATAACATAAGGATTTATATTCCTTTGAGTATATACCCCAAAATGGGATGGCTGGGTCAAATAAATGGTATCTCTGGTTCTAGATCCTTGAGGAATCATCACTCTGTCTTCCACAATGGTTGAACTAATTTACATTCCCACCAACAATTTAAAAGAATCCCTATTTCTCCAAAGCCTCACTAGGATCTGTTGTTTCTTGACTTTTTAATAATCACCATTCTGACTGGCATAAGATGGTATCTCATTGTGGTTCTGATTTGCATTTCTCTAATGACCGGTGATGGTGAGATTTTTTTCATATGTTTTTTGGCCACATAAATCTCTGATGATAGCTTCTTTTGCTGTGCAGAAGCTGTTTAGTTTAATTAGATCTCATTTGTCAATTTAAGCTTTTGTTGCAATTGTTTTTGGTGATTTCATCATAAAATCTTTGCCCATGCCTATGTCCTGAATCATACTGCCTAAGTTTTCTTCTAGGATTTTTATGGTTTTAGGTTTTACATTTAAGTCTCTAATCCATCTTGAGTTAATTTTTGTATAAAGTGTAAGAAAAGGTCCAGTTTAAGTTTTCTGCATATGGCTAGCCAGTTTTCCCAGCACCATTTATTAAATAGGGAATCCTTTCACCATTGCTTGTTTTTGTCTGGTTTGTTGAATATCAGATGGTTGTAGATGTATGGTGTTATTTCTGCAGTCTCTATTCTGTTCCATTGGTCTATATGTCTGTTTTGGCACCAGTACCATGCTGTTTTGATTACTGTAGGCTTGTAGTATAGTTTGAAATCAGGTAGCATGATGCCTCCAGATTTGTTCTTTCTCTTAGGATTGTCTTAGCTATGTGAGCTGTTTTTGGTTCCATATGAATTTTAAAGTAGTTTTGTCAAATTCTGTGAAGAATGTCAATGGGAGTTTGATGGGAATAGCATTGAATCTATACATTACTTAGGGCAGTATGGCTATTTTTTTATGATATCGATTCCTCCTATCCATGAGGATGGAATATTTTTCCATTTGTTTGTGTTCCTCTTATTTCCTTGAGCAGTGATTTGTAGTTCTCCTTGAAGAAGTCCTTCACATCCCTTGTTAGCTGTATTCCTAGGTATCTTATTCTCTTTGTAGCAATTGTGAATGGGAGTTCATTCATAATTTGGCTCTCTGGTTGCCTATCATTGATGTATAGGAATGCTTGTGATTTTTGCACATTGATTTTGTATCCTGAGACTTTGCTCAAGTTGCTTAGCAGCTTAAGAAGTTTTTGGGCTGAGATGATGGGGTATTCTTCCTATTTGAATACTCTTCATTTCTTTCTTTTTGCCGGATTGGCCTAGCCAGAACTTCGAATACTATGTTGAATAGGAGGTGAGGGAGGGCATCCTTGTCTTCTGCCAGTAAGGGGAATGCTTCCAGCTTTTGCCCATTCAGTATGATATTGGCTGTGGGTTTGTCATAAATAGTTCTTATTATTTTGAGATATGTTCCATCAATACCTAGTTTATTGAAAGGTTTTAACATGAAGGAATGTTGAATTTTGTTGAAGGCCTTTTCTGCATCTGTTGAAATAATTATGTGGTTTTTGTCATTGGTTCTGTTTATGTGATGGATTACATTTATTGATTTGCATATGTTGAACCAGCCTTGCATCCCAACGATGAAGCCGACTTGATCTTGGTGGATAAGCTTTTTGATGTGCTACTGGATTTGGTTTGCCAGTATTTTATTGAGGATTTTTGCATTGCCTATGGCTGATATAATTTTAATTTTTAATAGTAGCCATTCAGATTGGTGTGAGATAGTATCTCATTGTGGTTTTGATTAGCATTTCTCTGATGATTAGTTATGATGAGCATTTTTTTCATATATTTGTTGATCACTTGCATGTCTTCCTTTGAGGAGTGTCTGTTCATGTCCTTTGCCAATTTTCTAATTGGGTTGTTTGTCTTAGTTTGTTGATTTGTTTAAGTTGTTTACACGTTCTGGGTATTAGACCTTTGTCAGATGAATAGTTGGCAAATATTTTCTCCCTTTCTGTAGGTTGTCTGTTTACTCTCTTGATAGTTTCTTTTGCTGAGCAGAAACTGTTTAGTTTAATTAGGTCCCACTTATTAATTTTTGGAGTTTTTTTTTTGCAATTGCTTTTGGGGACTTAGCCAAAAATTCTTTGCCAAGGCCAACATTGAGAAGGATACTTTTTATATTTTCTTCTAGGATTTTTATAGTTTGAAGTCTATACTCAAATTTTTATTCTATCTTGAGTTAATATTTTATATGGTCGAAAGGTAAGGGTCCAGTTTCATTCTTCTGCATATGACTATCTCAGCACCATTTATTGAATAGGGAGTCTTTTTCTCATTGCTAATTTTTATCAGCTTTGTTGAAGATCCCATGGTTGCAGATGTGCTGCTTTATTTCAGGGGTGTCTAATCTGTTTCTTTGGTCTAAGTATCTGGTTTTGTACCAGTACCATGCTGTTTTAGTTATCGCAGCCTTGTAGTATAGTTTGAAGTTGTGTAATGTGTGCCTCCAGCTTTCTTCTTTTTGCTTAGGATTGCTTTGGCCATTCAGTATGTTTTTATGGTTCCATATGAATTTTAAAATAGTTTTATCTAATTCTGTAAAAAAATGACATTGGTAGTTTGTTAGGAATAGCATTAAATCTATGGGTAGTATGGTCATTTTAATGATATTGACTCTTCCAATCCATGAGCATGGAATATATTTCCATTTATTTGTGTCATCTCTGATTTTTTTCAACTGTTTTGTAGTTCTCCTTGTAGAGATCTTTCACCTCCTTGGTTAGCTGTATTCCTAGATATTTCATTTTTGGATGGTTTTTATAAATGGGATTGTATTCTTGATTTGATCTCAGCTTGATTGTTACTGTTGTATAGAAATGCTACTGATTTTTGTACATTGATTTCGTATCCTGAAACTTTACTAAAGTCAGTTATTAGGTTGAGGAGCCTTTTGGCAGAGTCTTTAGGGTTTCTAGGTTACCTAGAAAATCATATCATCAGTACGAAGAGATTGTTTGTCTTCTTTTCCTATTTAGATGCCTTTTATTTATTTCTCTTGCTAGGACTTCCAGCACTATGTTGAATAGAAGTGGTGAGAGTGAGTATCCTTGTCTTGTTGTGGTTCTGAATGGGAATGGTTACAGCTTTTGCCTCAGCTTGATGTTGGCTATGGGTTTGTCATAGATGCCTCCTATTATTTTGAGGTATGTTGCTTTAATATATGGTCTGTTGAGGATTTTTGTCATGAAAGGATGTTAGATTTTATCAAAAGCTTTCTTGGCATCTATTGAAATGATCATATGCTTTTGCTTTTAATTCTGTTTATGTGGTGAATCACCTTTATTGATTTGTGTACTCCAGATACAAAGCGTTGAATTTCAGATTTAAATCCTATTTGATCACAGTGAACTAGCTTTTTGATGTGTTTCTAAATTCAGTTTGCTGGTATTTTGTTGAGAATTTTTAGGTCTGTGTTTATGAGGAATATTGTCCTCAAGTTTTCTTTTGGGTATGTGTCTCTGACAGATTTTGTTATTAGGCCAATGCTTATTTCATAGCGTGAGTTAAGGAGGACCCCTTTTTCCTTGATTTTTTTGAAACAGTTTCAGTAAGATTGGTACCATTCTTTGTACCTTTGTACCTTTGGTAGAATTCAGCTCTAAATTCATCTGGTCCAGAGCTTTTTTTTGGTTGGTAGGTTTTTTTTTTTTTTTTTTTAAATAACTGATTCAATTTCAGAACTTGTTATTGTTCTTTTCAGGTTTTCATTTTCTTCCTGATTCAGTCATAGGAGATTACATGTTTCTAGGAATGTATCCATTTCCTCTATATTTTCTAATTTGTGTGCACGAAGTTTTTAATAGTATTCTGTGAGGATCTTTTGTATTTCTGTGGGATCAGTTGTAATGTCATCTTCATCATTTTTTTTGTATTTATTTGTGTCTTCTCTTTTTTTTTTGTTAATGCATCTAGAGATCTATACATATTGTCTATTCTTTCCAAGAACCAATTGTTGGCTTCGTTGATCCTATGTATGAATTTCTTCATCTCAGTTTCATTCAGTTCATTTCTAATTCAGTTATCTCATTTCTTCTGCTAGTATTGGTGTTTGTTTCTTTTTCTTCTTTTTTTAAAAGTTCCCCAGTTTCCTTTGTTGGGATCAATCCTGTTTTTAGGGGAATTAAAGCTCTAGTTCAATTTTCAAGGAATTAGTTTCAAGCCAGCTTACTGGTTGATGCCACTCTGACCTTAACCTGTGGTTTTATTCATTGGAATTTTGCCTTCTTACTAATATCTCATTTGGCTGAGTCTCTATCTTATCTTTCTGAGTCTCTGTCTAGATAGTATATGTAGTAGTCCAGTTTTCCAGCCCTGGTGCTCTGCTTTCCTCACATTTATTTTTGCATGGAATAGAGTGCTGTCCTCAACCTAAGCCATGGGACCGTAGTCCTCTCATGTTGTATTTTTAGTCCAGAGTCAATTCAAATGTTATTGCTTCTGATAATCCTTCCCTTGACTTCCCCAGCCAAACATGGGCATTCCCATGGAAACTTGTATTTCCTACACCACCAAATCAGCTGCAGCCCTGCTCCAAGCATTGGTTCCTCTTTTGCCTCTTGGAGATGGGTGGCCAAGCATCCACTAGCTAATGAAGCCCTTCTATAGAGATACCGCCTCAATATTCTGTGTGTGGTAGCCATGCTCTGCCCCCAGGAATTCAAGGGGCAACTTCAGGTTTAATTGTGGTTAGGGAATATCTAGAAACTGCATTGTGACTGTAATGTTTAATAGGTTTATTTCCTCAGTACTGTTAGGAAGTCAGTGAGCACAGTGATGAAGCAGGTGACCTCTGGACTGTCTGGATTCTATTAGCTCCAAAACTTATCAGTTTAGATAAGTAACATTATCATTACAAGCTTCATTTCCTTCATCTAAAAATTGATAATAATTGTACTTGATTCATATGATTGCTGAAAAGTTAAAATGGATAAAGTGTGTACAGTGTTTAGCAGAGACCTTGACACAGAAGAATCAATACTGCATTTCATCATCACTGTTATTTTTACTCTAATTAATTTTGGTCTCTATAAGTAGAGAAACTATGCCTTTATATCTTTGTACCCTCAAGACATGTCTCAGTTCTGAGAATCCCCAAATTTCAACACTGTGAGCCTCTAATTCCTAGATTAGTATAGCGTCTTTATTTTTTCTGAGTGTGTCCTCCCCAAACATTTTTGAGAATCCGGAGAGTCAAATGTGTAATGTGTTTGTCCCCAACCAGTTATGGTTCCTAAGAAAAGATGACTGTCCCCTGAGAGACTCTGGCAAGGAGAGGGTGGTCGCAAGTCTCCATGGGGAGGAGGCAGGTGTTTCATGCAGGATTTAAGGCCCTCGCTTACAGCCCCACAGACCACTGTTCCACACTCACAGTACTGTGCTGGCCTCAGGCTGTTTCTGTACTTTTTCTGTTTGCTGACCTCCTCTGGACAACATTTGTCAGAACTGGCAACCTCCCCTGAGTCTCTGCTACTCATCACTTCCTCTCTGAATTTTAGCAAAAACACTTATCTTAAGCTCAGCTCTTTCAGGGGAGTATTCTAGAGCAGAATGGCTTAGACTTGCCAAAACCTTTCCTTCCCAAATGACATATGTATGATGGAGGCTGAGAAAAGGGGAGGGTAGGCGATAACAGCCTCAAACCCCAGGCTCAGTCTGGCTAACCTTTCAGGCTTCTCCCATTTCTGTGGTAAATTTATTACAGGGGACACATCATTTCCATTTGTGATTCTGGTTAGGGTTATCTCCTGCACACCTTCTTGCCTCTAGTCTACTGGACAATTGTCTTTGTATGAATGGCTGTGGGGGAATGTTATGAACCTCAATTCCTAATATGGTTCAAGATCTTTCTCATGCAACTCCTAGGGTCCATTCAATCAGGGAAGGTAGCTGTCATCCAAATGTTCTATGTCAGTAAGTGTGTTATTGGCTCAGAAAAAAATGAGCCCCTTTGAGGTGAAGAAAACTTAATAAACAATACAAGTGGGACGACTATCCTCAGCTTACATGTTAGTGGAAAAGATAGACAATAAAATAGTTTAAAAAGTGATTATAGGCTGTGATAAGTATCATGCAGAAAACAGGGTGTTATAAAGCAAATGTCAAGAAAAAAAAAGGTGGAAGAAGCAAAATTTGAGCTAAGACTCTAAAAATGGAAATGAACAATCCAGATGAAGAGTGGTGGAAGAATATTACTGATGGAGGGGACAGTAAATGCAAGTACTCTGAGGAGGAAAATAAATGAGCAAAGTCCCAGGAAGAGGTTATTGCAGCAGTATGGGAAGAAGATGAAGGTGGCTTGAGCTTGGGTGATGGCAGTACAGTTGGAGAAAAGTAATAGATTCAAGATAATTTTGAAGATAGAACCTATAGGATATGATGAATTAAATGTAGAGGAAGATGAAAAATGAAGAGGAAGAGTGAAAAGTGAATCACAAGTGTCATGGTCGATAATTGTGCCATTGGCCAAGATGGAGAAGATTGGGAGAGAGACAGAATTGTGGAGGGGGAATCGGGAGCTCCATTTTGATGGTAGTCCATTTCATAGGCCAGTAGACATTCCTCTTACTTTACTATATTCTTTCAGACATCTGTGGAACTGATAAACTGGTAAACTTTTAGAGTCTTGGCTGCCTTTCTGTCTTATTTCTATGAAAACATGTCTCAATTTTACCCTCACATTTGAATGTCTACTTGCCTGTAGAATCCTAGGATAAAGCTACTTTCCCTAATCACTGCCTCCAAGATATTGCTCCATCATCTTCTTGTTTCTCTAGGGTTGCTTCAGGGAAGACTGATATTAATCTAAATCTTGTTCCTGTATTAATAATCTGCTTTTGTATCCCTTTAGTAATGTTTATAATTTTTCTCTTTATCTTCAGTTTCTTAAATTTTATACCAGCATATTATAAATAGACTTTTTTAAAATTTAAATTATGTTTGGCTTGTGTGTACTTTTAGTCTAAAGACTGATTAACCTTTTTTTTTTAATTTCTGGGGGCTTCTTATCTTTAGTCATTTAAATATTGCCTCCTTCCATTTTTTATTTTCTCTTAACCTGAAGTTACTACAAAATGAACACTAGAATTTTTGTGTATATCCTTCACATCACAGCCTTTCTAAGGGGCTCTCTGGGAGAATTCATTGAGTTTTCTTTAACTATCAATTGTATTTTTCATTTCTGAGATTCTGAATTGGCTCTTTTGCACAAAACATGTTCCTTTTTCATGAGTATTCTATTTTCCTTTATTTTTCTCAATACAGGTATCAATTATATTCATTTTCACATTTTTTCTCTTTGCTTTATTATTTTTGTTTGTTCTAGTGTAAGCAATTCATTTATTGATTCTATTGTCTTGCCTTTAGGCTCTTGGTTTTCCTCAGTGCTTGGAGATCCTTGATTGTGTGTCCATCCTTGATATGGTGATTTCTTGTTAAATAGTATTTATATGGGCCTAAGGCCTGCTAAGGGGAGAGATAGGAGTGCCTGCTGAGAAGCTATGTTGGCTATTTCTCAGAGAGCTCTAAGGAAGAGTGGTATATACTTCCTGGTGCTATACCTGGGTAGCTCATCCTCTGGGCGTGTATGCTATTTCTCCCAGCCTTTGCTAGCCATCTGGATGTGGCACTGTCTTCTGACCAAAGCTCACACACCCCTGCCACTACTTGGAGACAAAAGTCTCTGCCATAGCAGCTTGGCTCCAGTTATAACAGTGCTGATGCACTTGGCTGCTTTTGCTTTCTAGCCTTCTGATGATTCCTCCTAATTTCAGTATCCAACAACTCCAATCCTATTGCTTCAATCTTATTGCTTGCCATCCTCCAGAATTTTTTATTTATGTATTTATGTATTTATTTATTTATTTATTATTATTATAGGGTACATGTACACAATGTGCAGGTTAGTTACATATGTATACATGTGCCATGCTGGTGTGCTGCACCCATTAACTCGTCATTTAGCATTAGGTATATCTCCTAATGCTATCCCTCCCCCCTCCTCCCACCCCACAACAGTACCCAGAGTGTGATGTTCCCCTTCCTGTGTCCATGTGTTCTCATTGTTCAATTCCCATCTATGAGTGAGAACATGCGGTATTTGGTTTTTTGTCCTTGCGATAGTTTACTGAGAATGATGATTTCCAATTTCATCCATGTCCCTACAAAGGACATGAACTCATCATTTTTTATGGCTGCATAGTATTCCATGGTGTATATGTGCCACATTTTCTTAATCCAGTCTATCATTGTTGGACATTTGGGTTGGTTCCAAGTCTTTGCTATTGTGAATAGTGCCGCAATAAACATACGTGTGCATGTGTCTTTATAGCAGCATGATTTATAGTCCTTTGGGTATATACCCAGTAATGGGATGGCTGGGTCAAATGGTATTTCTAGTTCTAGATCCCTGAGGAATCGCCACACTGACTTCCACAATGGTTGAACTAGTTTACAGTCCCACCAACAGTGTAAAAGTGTTCCTATTTCTCCACATCCTCTCCAGCACCTGTTGTTTCCTGACTTTTTAATGATTGCCATTCTAACTGGTGTGAGATGGTATCTCATTGTGGTTTTGATTTGCATTTCTCTGATGGCCAGTGATGATGAGCATTTTTTCATGTGGCTTTTGGCTGCATGAATGTGCGAGGACTTCATGTCTAAAACACCAAAAGCAATGGCAACAAAAGCCAAAATTGACAAATGGGATCTAATTAAACTCAAGAGCTTCTGCACAGCAAAAGAAACTACCATTAGAGTGAACAGGCAACCTACAAAATGGGAGAAAATTTTCACAACCTACTCATCTGACAAAGGGCTAATATCCAGAATCTACAATGAACTCAAACAAATTTACAAGAAAAAAACAAACAACCCCATCAAAAAGTGGGTGAAGGATATGAACATCCTCCAGAATTTTTAAGAGTTTTCTTATTTATTTATTTATTTATTTTTTGAGACAGGGTTTCACTTTGCTGCCCAGGCTGGAGTGCAGTGGTTCCATCATGGCTCACTGCAGCCTCAACTTCCTGAGCTCAAGTGATCCTTGCACCTCAGCCTTCCACATAACTGGGACCATAGGTGAGTGTATTTTTTGTAGAGACAGAGTTTTACCATGTTGCCCAGATTGGTCTGTAGCTCCTGTGTTGAAGCCATCTGCCAACCTTGGCCTCCCAAAGTGCTGAGATTATAGGTTTGAGCCACCATACCTGGTCTTCTAAGAATTTTCTGCCAGTGTATTCCCTTTTCTAACTTTTAGTTTCTATGCATGATTTATTTATTTGTTTAATTGCTAATATATGTCATTCTTACAGACTTTATGTAGAGAGGGACAACTTAGCTCATGCTCAGCCCACTATATTGAAGAATAGATTTATCTGTTAGACATGCAAATAAAGATATTTGTAGGCACATGTAGGTACAAGTCTGAGGATGGGAGAATGGAATACTGGACGGGAGTTTTTGACACTTACATGAGAGAGCCAGCATCATAGAAAGGGTATTAAAAGCTGTGTGTTCAATAATGTGATATGTATTGATACATTTTGGCAAGTGAAATCATAATATAAACATAACAGTTCTTGAATTAGGGCTACTTAGAAGTGACAGTGTCCTACTGAATAATTTTAATAAGCTTATGTGTTAGAATTGTGAAACTTTTAACCTGCCTTTTGGCTACTGTTTGAAGACTAAGTATCTGAAATACTGTTCTATACGTGGCACAATGACAACGATGTACGTTGACGAGAAGAGAGGTTCATTTTTTTTTAGAATCAATAAACAATTAACCCTACCACAATGATAATAGTACTATGATTCAGCCATTTCTCCTACAAACCATTAGTGATTTCTATGCTAAACATTTTAGAAAGAAACTGCCTGAGAAAGAAAATAGACATTTGCCTGCACTACATTTGGGGAAAGGGTGTTGGGTTCTTCCGTGACTTTAAATACTGAGGTTATTCTTGCTCCAGGCAACCTGAACTTCCCTTTCCCACGAGCTTTACACATGCTCTGTCTCACTTTTATTTGGTTTACCTATTCAAAAAACCGCTTACCATGGCAACCCTTGTCTGCATGACAGGCAGTTATAATTTGCTTGGAAAAACTGCAACAAAGTGTCATTTTTCATAAACCCTTTATAACAAAATGTTTTCTTTCTCAGGGATTTCCAGTGACTTGATTGTGGTCTCATGGCTCTGGCCAAAAGATCATTTACAAAGAAAAACATTATTAAGAAGACCCATACACTTGGTCAATATTAGTGAGGGGTGGTGTTGGGATTGTTATGGCCTCTCAAAATAGGAAAATAATTGACTCTCTAACTATCTCTTTGGTACCATGAAAGCAGCATTCAAATAATGCTTACCTGAACCAAGTAATTCTACATTTTATAAAAATGTGCTTTGGATTGAAGTGCTGTGAGGTATGAGCAAACAGATAGATAGAGAGCCAAAAATAAATGCAACCCAGTTAAAATCCCACTCTGGGCCCCTGGGTATGTATTCCATTCAGAAAAATTCAAAAATAATTCCAAAAACCCTGCTATGGCATTGTGTGGTTTGAGCTAACAATAGCAGTCAAGAGATTTAGTGTGATCATGAACAATTATTCGCATGAATACATTCACAGATTCACTGAATTGCCTGCCAAAAGGCAGTGAATGTCGGGCAAGACTGCCGTATTTTAAATTCAAATATTGATATTTCTATGATATTTATTTCTATGACATAAACATGTTTGGATCAATATGCTACTTGTCACTAGATTTGTAATTCAAGCACCCCGAAAGCAGTAACAATTGAACTTTCCCAAACAATTGTTCACTATTCCCCAAATCAGATTATTAATCTACACTTGGCATCCAGTGAGTGCAAAATGTGTTATGCAAATGACTGCAGTGCTCCAGGCCCAAAGCATGAATGGAATTAGTTTTAAGCTCAAGAGGAATCTGGCCATGAGCAAATGGTGGGGGGATATATGACCCGGAGGATTAATCATTCTTATGGTTTATGATAGATGCTTCTTCCAGATGCCCACCTTCAGCTTCAAACGTGAGTATAAAAGAGTCTGGAGAAAAGATCTCTTAAAGAGATCTTGAAAAAGCAAGCTTTTGATACTTTTAAACTTTTATATTTTCATACTATTTGAGATTTTCTTTGTTCTTATTTGTTTTTAAGCTCAAGTCATCATTTTGGTATTTTAAAAACATTAAATATAGATGAGTAATTATTAGTATATTAACACATAATGTAATAGTTTTGTTACTTGTATAGTACTTTGGCAAAACTTTAAAATGAATCAGCTGCAAATAATGGGCCACTTTCCTAAACATAGACAATCTAGGCAAAAATATCCCGTAAATGTACTTTATGAAAACTTTGCATTACCCTGTGTTCCAGAGCAAGATCTGACTGAGAATGGGTTTGAGAACCAGAAAGTTCTCATCACTCTGTTATATATATGGGGATATATTCTGATAATGACAAAATAGTCTTTGTCTTGACTACTGTAAATAGTACAATATACTATATACAATTTAGCATATAGTATCCAAAAGCTTTTAAGTCTAAAGGTCAAGAATAACATTTTCACTGCTTATAAGTTAGATCTGATTCACAGCCTGTATCAGTCCATTTTCACACTGCTATAAAGGATTTCCCTGAGACTGGGTAATTTATTTAAAAAAGAGATTTAATTGACTCAGTTATGCATGGCTGGGAGGCCTCAGGACACTTACAATCATGGCAGAAGAGGAAGCAGGCACATCTTAACATGGTAACAGGCCAGAGAGAGAGCTTGTGAAGGAGGAACTATCAAACACTTACAAAACCATCAGATCTCCTGAGAACTCACTCACTATGACAAGAACAGCATGGGGGAACCACCTCCATGATGCAATCACCTCTCACTGGTTCTGCCTGTAACATGTGGGAATTATGCGGATTACAATTTGAGATGAGATTTGGGTGGGAACACAGAGACAAATTATATCACAACCCAAGAGCAAAAATGAATCTCAGTGGATTAAAAAAAATTGGTCAATAGCACTGAAGTAAGTAAATACTGCAGATAAAGAAGGTATATATTTCTAGCCATTGTAACTACAAATAAAAACAAAAAGAAAGTATATGAATGTCCAGGATGAGATATTCTTATATAAAGGGCTAGGCACAGTGGCTCATGCCTGTAATCCCAGCAGTTTGGGAGGCTCAGACAAGAGGATCACTTGAGGCCAGGAGTTTGAGACCAGCCTGGGCAATGTGGCAAGACCTTGTTTTTACAAAAAATAAAAAAGATAGCCATACATGATGTCATGCACCTGTAGTCCTAGCCACTTGAGAGGCTGAAGTGGGAGGATTGCTTGAGCCCAGGAGTTTGAGGCTGCAGTAAGCTAGCCTCCAGCCTGGGTGACAGAGTGAGATATTGTCTCTTAAAAAAAAAAAGCAAGAGAGAAATAGAAAAAGCATTATGGAAAACAAAACAGAATAACACTAGTTGCCACAGCTGGACACAAGCC